>NC_000003.12:195970566-196121566 GCF_000001405.40 Homo sapiens | reverse complement strand
GGACCCCCATGGCCCTCCTGCCTGCTGGAGAGATGGGGCCACCCTGACTCCTGCCCCTTCGATGTCTGGATGCCACTTCCATGGCGCTATCTTCCGTGTAGGTCTGGTGGGTAGGGGGACATGGGAGACCCTGGCCTGGCCTTACGTTTACCTGGAACAGGGCGTTGGTCGTGTATCTTCCGTGGAGCCTCAAGTTTTGCTCTCCGGTTTTGCTTGGGAGCTGCTTTTACAAATCCTTGTGGCATGTAGAGCTAAAGGCAGTTTCCCCAAAAGCCACCCAAAGGCCAGCTCACCCTACTGCAGAGACGGTCATGGGCTGGCTGTGGGGATGACTGATCTTCGGAGCCAGGTTCTGAGAAGTTGGGGTCATCTAAAAACCCTCAGCAAAACACGGGATTAGCCACTCATTCATTCTCCACAGTAACTTATTTTTATTTTTAGAGACGTGGTCTCGCTATATTGCCCAGGCTGATCTCAAACTCCTGGACGCAAGCATTGCTCCTGCCATGGCATCCTGAGTAGCTGGGATTACAGGGCTGCACCACCCCACTCAGCTCAGTAGCCTTTTTTTTTTTTTTTTTTTTTTTGTGATAGAGTGTGAGGATAATTCTTCAGGTCCTACTTTGGTCACCTGGCAGAAAGATAAATAAAGATCTAAGGTAAAGAGACATGTTAATCCTGAGAATGATGTTGCAATACATTTTCCTGATACAGTAAATTCTTCCCTTGGCTTAGAAGGCAATGCTTGTGTGGCTTAAAGACTGGAAGAGTGGCAGAATTTTAGCAGTGGCTCACAGGAAGGCAGTTATTATACCAGCCGATGATTCTGCGGGTCAGCTTCCTTTCATGACACTTCCTGCAGAAGGCCTGCAGTTATTTGCCATGTGGGTTTGGGGAAACTAGGGTGCCCCCTTCTTGATCTTCGGTCTGGCTTCCTGTCAGCTGTCCGCATGGGAGATGCAGCCTGGATGTTCCTTTTCTCTTGCACGTGTCCAGCCCTTATTCTTCCCGGGCGCCTGCCTGGGCTGGGAGCCAAGGGGTCAGTTAGGGTGGAAGAGGACGAGAGAGGGGGGCTATTTCTTGGCTTTCACCTCTGGGTCTCCCTTAGTCCCTGAGGAAGCCCCATGCCAACCTACAGGCTGGGGGACCCAGCGTGGCCCCCACTTCTGGGTTCTGCTCTCTAGCCCTTGACTGTGAGAGGGCGACAAGGTGGATACGGCGTGTGCCCCATCCCTCCTAGGACACAAGGTGGATGCGGCGTCTGCCCCCATCCCTGGGACTCATGCCTGGCCGCTGGCTCTGTGGGGTACTAGGACTGCGTGGCCTGTGTCCTTCGGGTCGGAGCTGCTTCGCCCAAATCTTATCTACAGTAAGTCCACATTCCCTCAGTGTTTTGAAGAGGAACCAAACCTCCTGGCCCTAAGCGCTCCTGACACAAACAAATCCTCAAAGTGTCTTAGAATGAAATGGACGTGGACATTATGCTTTTGGAATAAAAAACTAAGACACAAAATTCAATAAGAACGGGTGAACAGGGCTGTCTCTGCTCATCCCATGAAGGTTTAAATATTTTATTTTATTTTTGAGATGGAATCTCACTCTGCCACCCAGGCTGGAGTGCAGTGGTGTGATCTTGGCCGCCTCCTGGGTTCGTGATTCTCCTGCCTCAACCTCCCGAGTAGCTGGGATTACAGATGCACCCCACCATGCCCAGCCAATTTTTGGATTTTTAGTAGAGACAGGTTTTCACCATGTTAGCCAGGCTGGTCTCGAACTCCTGACCTCAGGTGATCTGCCTGCCTCGGCCTCCTAAAGTGCTGGGATTACAGCCGTGAGCCACCACGCCTGGCCCATGAAGGTTTTTTGCTCTAGCCTCCATGGGCACCAAGCACTGGGCCTGTTATGAAAAGCTTCCTAGCTCCACCGTCCCAGCAGGGAGGGGCATTGGGTTCAGTCCTTCCATGGAGAAGGGCCCGTGGAGCCCCCAGCATCTGACCTGGACCCGCTTGATGGAATCCAGCCTCCTTCTAATCATTCTTTTTGTTGTTGTTCAGTCCCTTCCTTTTTATTTTTGTATTTTGTATCTTACTTAACATCCATAAATGTAATTGTGATAAAATAGACAATTTGGCACAGTGGCTCACACCTGTAATCCCAGCAGTCTGGGAGGCTAAGGCGGACGGATCACGAGGTCAGGAGTTCAAGACCAGCCTGGCCAATATGGTGAAACTGCATCTCTACTAAAAATACAAAAATTAGCTGGGTATGGTGGTGCATGCCTGTAATCCCAGCTACTCGGGAGGCTGAGGCAGAAGAATTGCTTGAACCCGGGAGGCGGAGGTTGCAGTGAGCTGAGATTGTGCCACTGCACTCCAGCCTGGGCAACAGAGAAAGACTCCATCTCAAAAAAAAAAAAAAAAAAAGGGCCGGCACAGTGGCTCACAGCTGTAATCCCAGCACTTTGGGAGGACGAGACGGGTGGATCACCTGAGGTCTGGAGTTCAAGACCAGTCTTGCCAACATGGTGAAACCCCATCTCTACTGAAAATACAAAAAAATTAGCCGGTCGTGGTGGCAGGTGCCTGTAATCCCAGCTACCTGGGAGGCTGAGGCAAGAGAATTGCTTGAACTTGTGGGGCAGAGGTTGCAGTGAGCCGAGATCACGCCATTGCGCTCCAGCCTGGGCAACAGGAGCGAAACTCCGTCTCAAAAAAAAAAAAAAAAAAAAAGACAATTTACGAATGAGCCAATAATTTGGGGGAATTTATCTCATGAGCTAAACCTATTCAGAGTAAGAGTTCCTGGTTTCAGTGCACCTGAGTTAGGGCCAAGTTGGTTTCTCCTATTAAAAAATGTAAATTGGCCCAGCATGGTGGCTCATGCCTGTAATCTCAGCACTCTGCGAGGCTGACATGGAACAGTCAGCCTGAGCAACATGGTAAGACCTCATCTCTACTAAAACCCAAAGAAACAAACAAATTAGCTGGGCATCACACCTGTAGTCCCAGCTACTTGAGAGGCTGAGGCAAGAGGATCACTGGAGCCCCGGAGGTTGAGGCTGCAGTGAGCAGTGATCTTGCCACTGTACTCCAGCCTAGGTGACAGAAAGAGAACCTGTCTCAAAAAAATTAATTAATGAAGAAAATAAAAATGTAAGTCGGCTATCCATCTCTGAATATCTTTGCTGACGAGAGAGGAAAGTGTCTTAGTTGAGATGGTTTCTCCTCCCAAAGGTCCACCCCCAGAATCCTATGGATTCCCTGAGGCTGAGCCCTGCTGGATATGTGTGGGAGACTCAGTTTGGAGTCAGCTACTGCCTCAGGGACAGAAAGAGGGAGGAACAGGAGAAACAGTGTGGGCATTCTTGCCTTCATCACCAAGGCCCCTTAACTTCTGCCACATGGTCTGGAACAATCCTGTCTAGGTCATGGAGGACTTAAGGAGCTGAGTTTGATTCCCACTCGGCTCTGACACGATTATTTATTTATAGTTCCAACCATTCACCATTGGTTGAGCTCTTGCCATGCGCCAGACCCTGGGCAAGGTATTTTAGACACACTGTGGTTTATAGCTCCGAGAGCCTTATGAGGAAGGAGCTATTATTATGCCCATGTGTAACACCACAAAACAGGTTGGAGACAGTCAGTAACTTTGTTGCAGCATTAATTTCCCGCCTCAACTTAGCCACACTAGCTCCACACGCTTTGTCTGTCTTGGGTGCTGGTTTTTGTTTTCAGAATAGTGTATATAACACACATAAATGGTTTAAAGAATTAGAACATATTTTGTATGCAAATAATTTTTTGATTATGTATGTTAAAATGTTTGTAGCTTGATTTTTGCTTTCTTTATGGAATCTTTTAATAAATATCAATTCTGAGTTTTAATAGAATAAAATTTATCAATAATTTTCTTGTATGGCTTGCACATTTTATGTCTGATTTTGAAAATCACTTCCAGCCAGGCATGGTGGCTCACAACTGTAATCCCAGCATTTTGCGAGGCCGAGGTCCATCTCTACTTAAAAACAAAAACAGGGCCGGGCGCGGTGGCTCACACCTGTAATCCCAGCACTTTGGGAGGGTGAGGGATCATGAGGCAGGGAGATCACAAGGTCAGGAGACCATCGAGACCAGCCTGGCCAACATGGTGAAACCCCGTCTCTACTAAAAATACAAAAAATTAGCTGGGTGTAGTGGTGGGTGCCTGTAATCCCAGCTACTCGGGAGGCTGAGGCAGGAGAATCGCTTAAACCCACAAGGCAGAGGTTGCAGTGAGCCAAGATCACGCCACTGCACTCCAGCCTGGGTGACAGAGCAAGACTCTGTCTCAAAACACAAACAAACAAAAACACAAAAAACTGGAGTCTCTGAGCCTACTCTGGCTCAGGAGGCTGCCAACAAAAAAAAAAAAAAGTGGGGGGTGGGAAAGGAAAAAATCATTTACTATCCCAACGTAATAAGATACTTTTCTATTTAGTTTTTTTCTAAAAGGCTTATAATTTGGACTTTCCCATTCACATCGTTAAATCTCCTGGCATTTTATTTTTATGTTTGAGGTGATATAGGGAAGATGCTTGTGATATCTATTATACTCAGTTATGGGCAATGTTTGTACTCTCTAAACTCACTCAGGTACTACACAAACAAAGCTTACTTCCTTCAATTCAATTGTGTAAGGTTTTATTTAGTATCTGTTGTGGGATTATCTAGAAGCAGGGTAGGCCCTGTATAAGGAAAAAAAATAAAATTATGGATTGCTAAAGTTTTGAATCATTAATTAGGAAGGTAATGTGAAGGGGACAATCACATATTTTCTGGCATCCTGATCTATCGTATTTACATAGAAAGAGAGGCGTATATAGGTTCTGGGGCTGATTTATTGTTTTCACATAGAAAGAGAGGCGCATATAGGTTCTGGGGCTGATTTATTGTTTTCACATAGAAAGAGATGCGTATATACGTTCTCTGGCTGATTTATTGTTTTCACAGAGAAAGAGAGGCATATATAGGTTCTCTGGCTGATTTATTGTTTTCACAGAGAAAGAGAGGCATATATAGGTTCTGGGGCTGATTTATTGTTTTCACAGAGAAAGAGAGGCGTATATAGGTTCTTTGGCTGATTTATCGTTTTCACATAGAGAGGTGTATATAGGTTCTGTGACTGATTTATTGTTCTCACATAGAAAGAGAGGCATATATAGGTTCTGTGGCTGATTTATTGTTCTCATATCGAAAGAGAGGCGTATATAGGTTCTCTGGCTGATTTATTGTTTTCACATAGAAAGAGAGGTGTGTATAGGTTCTGGGGCTGATTTATTGTTTTCACATAGAAAGAGAGGCGTATATAGGTTCTCTGGCTGATTTATTGTTTTCACATAGAAAGAGAGGCGTGTATAGGTTCTGGGGCTGATTTATTGTTTTCACATAGAAAGAGAGGCGTATATAGGTTCTGGGGCTGATTCATTGTTTTCACAGAGAAAGACAAGTGTATATAGGTTCTGGGGCTGATTTATTGTTTTCACATAGAGAGGCGTATAGAGGTTCTGGGGCTGATCTGTTTTCACAGAGAAAGACAGTTGTATATAGGTTCTGTGGGCCTTTGGGGGTTCCCATTCTCACTTCCTTTCTTATGAGTGTGGTGAGCATTGGGGTGTGGGGGTGAGTCTCAGGTTTTTGTTTACATTCAAATATGTTACTTTTCTTTTGCTGCAGAGATATGCTATGGTCCAGAAATTTTTCTTAAGATCCTTCAATGATCCTCTACTTTTTCACAAGTAGAGATGGGTGTTTCAGAACAAGTACGGTACTGTGTGGCTAGTTGCTTCTACCACTGCTGTGAGCATGGTCAAAATTAACCAGGCCATGCTTGGGTCACGTCAAACAATGGGCTTACCATAAGCCTCCCATCGTCACTCTTAAAAAACACTCCAAGCCGATAGCCCGTCATGTTTGAATTTGTAAAGGCAACTAACTTGGGAAGTTCTTTCTCATCCAATGTGAAAAATTCCTTTTCTTCTTAAATCACTATTGCGTATGTTTCAGCAGAGGTTTTTTTGTTGTTGTTGTTGTTGATAACCTATAAATACATACGGAGGCTTCTAAAAGGCCTTTGTGGTCCCTGGGGAGCCATACTCTTAATGCAACAAAAATAGCACTTAAAAAATACATACATATATATATATATAATTATTACATGTAAAAAATAGAAAAGGGAACAAAAATTAGTTGGCATGGTGGCATGCACCTGTAATCCCAGCTACTCAGGAGGCTGAAGCAGGAGAATTACTCGAACCTGGGAGGTGGAGGTTGCAGTGAGCCAAGATCGCACCATTGCACTCCAACCTGGGTGACAGAGCGAGACTGTCTCAAAAAATAAAATAAAAAATAAAAAAGGGAAAAAAAGGAACGTGTCCTCATGCCTCTTTCCAGTCAATTCCTGCTGCTCCCAGTACCCACCTCCTCAGCAAAAGGCAACCACTTTGCAGCTTGCACTTTTTTTTAAGGCAGAGTCTCTCTCTCAGTGGCAAGAACACAGCTTATTGCAGCCTCAACCTCGTGGGCTCAAGTGATCCACCTGCCTTGGCCTTCAGCTAGCTGCAGCTATCCTTCTTCAAAAGGACTCAATGGACCTCGGTTTGTGTATCCATACATGATGAGGAGGGATGAGATGGCCTGCAAAGATCCTGCTTTAGGAAGCTCTGATGCTCAAGGGGCCCACGTGGGCAAATAAATATAATGATGTGCATAAACCTAAACATATTTTTATAAATAACCAACCAATAGTTCATGGTGGGTAGCTCCAGTAAACAAAAAAGAAAAAAAGAAAAGAACCACGCAAGGGTACTGAGGGAGAGGCACCACAGACCAATAAATCCTTGCAAAAGAACAGCTGCTTTGGGCAGGCGCAGAGGCTCACGTCTGTAATCTCAGCAATTTGGGAGGCCAAGGTGGGCTGATCAGTTGAGCCTGGGACTTCAAGACCAGCCTGGGAAACATGGTAAAATCCTGTCTCTACAAAATATAAATTAGCAGGGTGGGTGTGATGGTGTGTGCCTGTAGTCCCAGCTATTCGGGAGGCTGAGGTGGGAGGATGGCTTGAGCCCAGATGTCGAGGCTCCCAAGTTCACGCCACTGCACTCCAGCCTGGGTGAGTGAGACCCTGTCTCAAAAAGAAAAAAGAAAAAAGAAAAGACACTTCTTTTTTTTTTTTTGAGACAGTCTCGCTCTGTTGCCCAGGCTGGAGTGCAGTAGCGCAATCTCGGCTTACTGCAAGCTCTGCCTCCCGGGTTCACACCATTCTCCTGCCTCAGCCTCCCGAGTAGCTGGGACTACAGGCGCCCGCCACCACACCCGGCTAATTTTTTGTATTTTTAGTAGAGACGGGGTTTCACTGTGTTAGCCAGGATGGTCTCGATCTCCTGACCTCGTGATCCACCTGTCTCGGCCTCCCAAAGTGCTGGGATGACAGGCGTGAGCCACCACACTCGGCAAAAGCCACTTTTTAATAAACTATAATGTAAAAGGATGGTTCATATAATATGCCGCTTAAGCAGTAAGTGCATTCTAGAGCATAGACAAGAAAAGTGAGCAAATAAGTGATTCTGGTGGGAGGTGAAGCAAATAATAAAATTAAGTTATATCAACATAAAAGCAGTATGATCTTGGTAACTAGAGTAGTTTTATGCTTGAAACTCAGCATCTATCATGCATGGTATAAGTTGGAAATCCAGAACACTTCTCATCTGACAATAGATTACCAGGATGTGCTTGGTCAACAGACTCATGACCAGATTCCTTTAAAAATAAAGACGGAACTTCCAGTGGAGACCGGAGTACTGTGAGCTCTTTGTACTGAAAAGACAGCTTCTCTCACTTGCTAGCTCTCCCTCTGCCCCACATACCAAAAATATCCTGAGAAAATTTTACCCAAGTAAATAGCTATTATGACTACAGTTAAAAAAAAAAAAAAAGAAAGTAAAAGGTATGTTTAAAGACACATTCATGCCTGGGCATGCTGTCTCACACCTGTCATCCCAGTGCTTTGGGAGGCCAAGGTGGGAGGATTGCTTGAGGCTCGGAGTTTGAAACAAGCCTGGGCAACAGAGCGAGACTCCATCGCCACAAAAAATTTAAAAATTCTCTGGGTGTGGTGGCTCACTCCTGTAATCCCACCACTTTGGGAGGCTGAGGCAAGAGGATTGCTTGAGCCCAGGAGTTCAAGACCAGCCTGGGCAAAATGGTGAAACCCCATATCTACTCTCTCTCTCTACTCTCTCTCTCTCTCTCTCTCTCTCTCTCTCAACATATATATATATAATGAAACACAGGCATGATGGCATGCACCTGTAGTCCCAGCTACTTGGGAGGTTGAGGTGGACCCAGGAGGTCAAGGCCGTAGTGAGCTGTGATCATGCCACTGCACTCCAGCCTGGATGACAGATCAAGACCATATCACAAATAAAAAAATTAAAAATTAGCTGGGTGTGGTGGCCCATGCCCTTATAGTCCCAGCTCCTGAGGAGGCTTAGGTGCGAGGATCCCTCGAGCCCAGGAGTTGAAGGCTGTAGTGAGCTGTGATTGTACCACTGCACTCCAGCCTGGGCAACAGAGTGAGACTCTGTCTCTGAAAACAAAACCAAAAACCCCCCTAAGGATACATTTACATTTGATGTATATGCAATGACAGACTGTGAGGACCCTCTCTGGAAATTTGGAATAGATGCCCCTGAGCCCCTTAAGATTTACTGCCACCCATCCCCTCTCCTCAACTGAACTACTACAGATGCATTTTTTTCCAATATCTGTAGCTACGTCAGTGACCTGAAAGTCTCTCAGGAGAATGGGCCTTGGTTCAGGTCGTGAATTTGCCTCCTGTGTGTGTGCCCTCTCGACTCAGATCCTTGCAGATAGAGCTCCATGAAGAAACTTGGAGCCAGGCGTGGTGGCTCACGCCTGTAATCCCAGCACTTTGAGAAGCCGAGGCAGGTGGATCATGAGATCAGGAGATCGAGACCATCCTGGCTAACACGGTGAAACCCCGTCTCTACTAGAAATACAAAAAATTAGTTGGGCATGGTAGTGGGTGCCTGTAGTCCCAGCTACTCGGGAGGCTGAGGCAGGAGAATCGCTTGAACTCAGGAGGTGGAGGTTGCAGTGAGCCAAAATCATGCCACTACACTCTAGCCTGGGCGACAGAGCAAGACTCCATCTCAAAAAAAAAAAAGAAAAAAAAAAGAAACTCATTACTGTGAACATTTAAAACCTTGATGACCTTTGAAGACTTTTGCGACTTTTCTTACCCCAGGCAGACACTGGGTTTTCCCCTCTTGCTTAACATGAGACTTCAGAGGGAAAACAAAAAAGCTCGATTTTGGTAAGGATCCTTTGAAAAGTTCAGTGCCAAGTACTTCTGAGAAGTCTGATTGGTTTGTTCCTCTTTAGTCGTTTGTGGAATTTTTTTGTTGTTGTTTTGTTTTGTTACTATAGGGTCTCGCTCCATCGCCCAGGCTACAGTGCAGTGGCATGATCTTGGCTCACTGCAACCTCTGCCTCCCACCTCAGCCTCCTGAATAGCTGGGACCACAGGCACACACCACCACACCAGGCTAATGTCTGTGTTTTTGTCGAGACAGGGTTTCACCATGTTGCCCAGGCTGGTCTTGGAGTTGTAATCTTTTGTGTTTTTTTTTGAGACGGAGTTTTGCTCTTTGTTGCCCAGGCTGGAGTGCAGTGGCGCGATCTCGGCTCACTGCAAGCTCCGCCTCCTGGGTTCAAGCGATTCTCCTGCCTCAGCCTCCCGAGTAGCTGGGATTACAGGTGCCCGCCACCACGACCAGCTAATTTTTGTATTTTTTCATTTGGGCAGGGCGAAGTAGGAAGTAAGGATGGGAATTGGTGCAGGAACGATTAGGATTTCTTTTTTTTTTTTTTTTTTGAGACGGAGTCTCACTCTGTGGCCCAGGCTGGAGTGCACTGGCGTGATCTCGGCTCACTGCAGGCTCCGCCTCCCGGGTTCACGCCATTCTCCTGCCTCAGCCTCCCGAATAGCTGGGACTACAGGCGCCCGCCACCACGCCCGGCTAACTTTTTGTATTTTTAATAGAGGTGGGGTTTCACCGCGTTAGCCAGGATGGTCTCCATCTCCTGACCTCGTGATCCGCCCGCCTCGGCCTCCAAAGTGCTGGGATTACAAGCGTGAGCCACCGCGCCCGGCCAGGATTAGGATTTCTGTATTTTCTCCCAGTCTCTAACTTCGATCAGTTTCTAGAAATTACCAGGTCTAGATGCATCCCCAAGAAGACAGTGTACTCTCAGGGGAACTAGGAGGGTACATGCCATTGTGGAGAGAAATACATTAGACTGTCAGAGACAGGGCCATTTAATAACCTCTCCTTACAACAGACAGAGGTTGGGTGTCTGGGAAGCAGACCAAGAGGGAGATTTGTGATCAGGAAGTTTATTAAAGATGCCCTCAGGAGGCCGGGCACTGTGGCTCATGCCTGTAATCCCAGCACTTTGGGAGGCCAAGGTGGGTGAGTCACCTGAGGTCAGCAGTTCAAGACCAGCCTGACCAACATGGTGAAACCCCATCTCTACTAAAAATACAAAATTAGCTGGGCGCGGTGGCGCATGCTTGTAACCCCAGCTACTCAGGAGGCGGAGGCAGGACAATCGCTTGAACCCGGGAGTTGGAAGTTGCAGTGAGTGAAGATTGTGCCATTGCACTCTAGCCTGGGCAGTAAGAGCAAAACCTCGTGCCCCCCCCGCCCCCCGCCCAAAAAGAAAGAAAAAAAATGCCCTCAGGATTAATACCTGTGAGGAGGCAGGGCTGCAGGATTAGGGGACGTCGGCCTGGAGCTCAGGAAACAAAGGCCTCAGCAAATCTCTCAATAGGAGTGACTCTCTGGAGCTGGGATGGCCCTTGTCAGGAATGCAGCTGTCCCTAGGGGGAGCATGACGTTGGGTGACGCAGCTCTCTTTAGCCTCAGGTGATCCCGGACAGGGACTTCCTTTATCCGGATGTGGTGGCTCGTGCTCATAATCCCAACACTTTGGGAGGCCGAGGCGGGAGGACTGCTTGAGCCCAGGAATTTAAGACCAGCCTGGGCAACAGCCAGACTGCATCTCAAACAAAAAAACAAACAAGAAACCCATAATTGTTATACCAGCTACCATTTACTGAGCATGCTATAGGTTGTGTATTGGCTAATTATTTTACATAGATTGTCTTAATCCTCAGAACAACCCCGTGAAGTAGGTATTGTTTTATGGATAAGAAAATAGGCTCTACGTGGCAGGTGCGGTGGCTCACGCCTGTGATCCCAGCACTCGGGGAGGCCGAGGCGGGTGGATCACAAGGTCAGGAGACCGAGGCCATCCTGGCTAACATGGTGAAACCCCGTCTCTACTAAAAAATACAAAAAAGTAGCCAGGCATGGTGGCGGGTGCCTGTAGTCCCAGCTACCCAGGAGGCTGAGGCAGGAGAATGGTGTGAACCCAGGAGGCAGAGCTTGCAGTGAGCCCAGATCACGCCACTGCACTCCAGCCTGGGCAACAGAGCAAGATTCTGTCTCAAAAAAAAAAGTTATTACAAATTGTGTCAAAAATAAGATGACCATTAATCAGGAGAAGCCAGCCTTTTCTTTTTTTTTTCTTTTTTTGAGACGGAGTCTTGCCCTGTCGCCCAGGCTGGAGTGCCGTGGCACGATCTTGGCTCACTGCAAACTCCGCCTCCCGGGTTCACGCCATTCTCCTGCCTCAGCCTCCCGAGTAGCTGGGACTACAGGCACTCGCCACCATGCCCAGCTTTTTTTTTTTTTTTTTTTTTTTTTTGTATTTTTAGTAGAGACGGGGTTTCATCATGTTAGCCAGGATGGTCTCGATCTCCTGACCTCATGATCCACCCGCCTCGGCCTCCCAGAGTGCTAGGATTACAGGCGAGAGCCACTGCACCCAGCCGAAGCCAGCCTTTTCTTGCACTGAAACTCTAGGCAAGTTCTCAGGATCACTAGCTTCCAATAATAGCTCCTACAGTAAGTGCAATATTGAGTTTCATGTGGGTTTTCGTGATAACATTTCTCAATTAAGGCAGATTGCATGATGCTAAAGAAGAATTTAGGCCAGGCACAGTGGCTTACACTTGTAATCCCAGCACTTTGGGAGGCCAAGGTGGGCGGATCACTTGAGGCCAGGAGTTTGAGACCAGCCTGGCCAACATGGAGAAACCCCATCTCTACTAAAAATACAAAAATTAGGCTGGGCGCGGTGGCTCATGCCTGTAATCCCAGCACTTTGGGAGGCTGAGGCATGTGGATCACGAGGTCAGGAGTTTGAGACCAGCTTGGCCAACATAGTGAAACCCCGTCTCTACTAAAAATACAAAAAATTAGCAGGTGGTGGCAGGTGCCTGTAATCCCAGCTACTTGGGAGGCTGAGGCAGGAGAATTGCTTGAAGCTGGGAGACAGAGGTTGCAGTGAGCCGAGATCGCACAACTGCGCTCCAGCCTGGGTGATGGTGTGAGACTCTGTCTCAAAAAAAAAAGAAGAAAAAATACCCCCAAAATTAGCTGGGTGTGGTGACACATGCCTGTAGTCCCTGCTACTTGGGAGGCTGAGGCATGAGAATTGTTTGAGCCTGGGAAGCAGAGGTTGCAGTAAGCCAGGATCACGCCACTGCACTCCAGCCTAGGTGACAGAGCAAGACTGTGTCTCAAAGAAAAAATAAAAAGAAGAATTTCATGAAGCCTTGAGAAGCCAACTGTGTGGTCCCAGGATAAGGGTCTGTGTTCTCGTTCTCACTGTTGTTCGGTTGGCACTCAGCAGTGCTGATGAGGGCTCCCGAGTGGGACTGCTGTGGGTTCTCATGGCAGTTCTGTGTCTGGGCTGTCCAGGATCTTGGGCTTAGACACATTGCCACGTGGAAGCTGTGGGGTGTGCGTGTGTGTGCACGTGCGTCCACACGCAAGAGCGCATGTGCGTGGTGGGGCAAAGGGTGATTCAGTGGTTGGGAAACCTGGGTTCACCTGTCCTGCCCAAGCCTCAGGCTGCAGCTCCCTCTGCTCCCAGCCTCGGGAGGGGCCTTCTCTTATCTCCAGCATGCAGCTCCAGGGCACTGCTTACAAATGCGAATGCCGTTCCCTCACCCTCCACTATCTCCCTTCCCCTAGCTCTCCCTCCTGGGAAGAAGGGGGCCTCCTACTGAGGAGGGTAGGAAAGCTTGATCCTAGCTCCATGACTGAGACCTGGTTTGACCCTGGGGGAACCAAGAGCTCCAGGGGGGCTGTGGCCCTGTGAGGCTGCCAGAGTTGCTGAGGATCTGCCAGCTGACCCTCCTCCCCTCAGCCTGAAACCTGAGCCTCACCCAACACCTGCCAGCCCTCTAGGCTGCGCCTTTCACCCAGCACAGGTGTGTCCCATTGTATGTGTTCGGTAGGAGTGAGCTGTCCATGGGAATCTAGTCTCTGTGCATTCCTTGGCTCATGGCAAATAAGAATTCCTTAAAAAATGTTAAAAAGATGACAGGCGCGGTGGCTCACTCCTGTAATCCCAGCACTTTGGGAGGCCGAGGCGGGCGGATCAAGAGGTCAGGAGATCGAGACCATCCTGGCTAACACAGCGAAACCCCGTCTCTACTAAAAATACAAAAAATTAGCCGGGCGTGGCAGCGGGCGCCTGTAATCCCAGCTACTTGGGAGGCTGAGGCAGGAGAATGGCGTGAACCTAGGAGGTGGAGCTTGCAGTGAGCCGAGATCGCGCCGCTGCACTCCAGCCTGGGCGACAGAGCGAGACTCCATCTCAAATAAAAAAAAAAGTTAAAAAGAACCCAGTATCTGTATCACGTTCAACATAAGAGAAAGATGAGACTCTTATTATAGAAGAGTAGGCCAGGTGCAGTGTCTCACACCTGTAATCCTAGCACTTTGGGAGGCCGAAGCAGGAGGATTGCTTGAGCCCAGGAGTTCAAGACCAGCTTGGGGAACACAGGGAGACCACATATCTTTTGTTATTCCAATTTTTAAATTTTTTCTTTTTTACTTAAAGACCAGTGAGATACTAAGGGAGACTGCATTAGGAAGAGACACTGTGTCTGTAAACAACAACTAAAAATTGGCTGGGCATGGTAGGACGTGCCTATGATCCCAGCTACTCAGAAGGCTGAGGTGGGAGGATCACTCGAGCGCAAAAGGTTGGGGCTGCAGTAAGCAACCTCATGCCACTGCACTCCAGCACCAGAGCGAGACCCTGTCTCAAAATAAAATAAAATAAAATAGGCTGGCTGGGTGTGGTGGCTCACCCCTGTAATCCCAGCACTTTGGGAGGCAGAGGTGGGTGGATCACGAGGTCAGGAGTTCAAGACCAGCCTGACCAATATGGTGAAACCTTGTCTTTACTAAACACACACACACACTAGCTGGGAGTGGTGGCGGGCACCTCTAATCCCAGCTACTCTGGAGGCTGAGGCAGGAGAATTGCTTGAACCCGGGATGCGGAGGTTGCAGTGAGCCAAGATCTCACCATTGCACTCCAGCCTGGGTGACAGAGCTAGATTCTGACTCAAATAAATAAATAAATAAAAATAAAAAAGGCTGAGCGTAGCGGCTCGCACCTGTAATCCCAACACTTTGGGAGACTGAGGTGAGAGGATCACTTGAGCCCAGGAGTTGAAGACCAGCCTGGGCAGTATGGCGAGACCCTGTGTACAAAACATAAGAAATGAACCAAATGTGGTGGCACGCACCTATAGTCCCAGCTAATCAGGAGGCTGAGGTGGAAGGATCAGTTGAGCCCAGGAGTTCAAGACCAGCCTGGGCAATATGGTAAGACCCTGTCTACAAAAAACAAAAAATTATCCAGGTGTGGTGTCACTCACCTATAGCCCCAGCTGCTCAGGAGGCTGAGGTGGGAGGATCACTTGAGCCTGGGGGGGTCAAGGCTGCAGTGAGCTGTGATCATGCCACTGCACTCAGCCTGGGTGACAGAGTGAGATCCTGTCTCAAAAATAGTAATAATATAATAAAATACAAAATATAGAATAGTAATGGGTAGAATACAGTAGAAAGAGAAAGCCAGGGTTACATTTCAAACAAATAAGCATTTTCTATTCTCATAGTTTAAAGAAAAGCATTTTTTATGTTCAAAGTAGTACATATTTATTAAAGAATATTTAATGGAAAAACAAAAAGGTTTTTTAAACTATTTTTTCTTCTGTTCCCTTTTCTGCAACTATGTGTATGTGTGTACATGTGATATGTATGTGTATATTTTTCTCAATAAATTTTTGCTTTAGAATATTTTTGATTTACAAAAAATTTGCAAGGATAGTGTAGAGATGGCTGGGCCTGGAGGCTCAGGACTATAATCCCAGCACACTGGGAGGGCAAGTTGGGAAAATCACCTGAGCCCAGGAGTTCAAGACCAACCTGGACAAGATGTTGAAACCCCATCTCGGCCAGGCCCGGTGGCTCACGCCTGTAATCCCAGCACCTTGGGAGGCCGAGGTGGGTGGATCACCTGAGGTCAGGAGTTTGGAACCAGCCTGGCCAACATGGCAAAACTCCATCTCTATTAAAAATATAAAAATTAGCTGAGTGTGGTGGCGGGCGCCTGTAATCCCAGTTACGCGGGAGGCTGAGGCAGAAGAATTGCTTGAACCTGGGAGGCGGAGGTTGCAGTGAGCTGAGATCGCACCACTGCACTCCAGCCTGGGTGACAGAGTGAGACTCTGTCTCGAAAAAAAAAAAAAAGAGAAAGAAAACAAAGAAACCCCATCTCTTCACAAATTGTAAAAACTGGCAAGGCATGCTTCTGTATTCCCAGCTACTTGGGCAGCTTCGTGAAGATGTTTTGAGCCCGGAATGTTGAGGTTGCAGTGAGTCATGTTCACACCACTGCACTCCAACCTGGGCAACAAAGTGAGACCCTATCTCAATCAATCAATCGATCAAATATAGAGTTTCCATATACCCATACACTCAGTTTCTCCTATTGTTATCCCATTACTATGGTACATTTATCAAAACCTATGAGTCAATATTCATACAGTCTTCTGAAGACCATACATAATTTGGGTTACCTTCGTTCTTACCCAGTGTTCTATTTCTAGCATTTCAGCTAGGATGCCATATCACATTCAGTCATTAGGTCTCCTTACGCTCTTCTGAAATGTAAGTTTCGGCCAGGCGCGGAGGCTCATGCCTGTAATCCCAAAACCAAATACCTAAATAAAATAAAATGTAAGTTTCTCACACAGGGTCTCACTCTGTCCACCCAGGTTGGAACACAGTGGCACAATGTCAGCTCACTGCAACCCCTGCCTCCTGGGCTCAAACAATCCTACCGCCTCAACCCCCCAAGTAGCTGAGACTACAGGTTCGAGCCACCACACCCGGATAATTTTTGTATTTCTAGTAGAGACGGGGTTTCACCATGTTGGCCAGGCTGGTCTCGAACTCCTGACCTCAGGTGATCCGCCCACCTCGGCCTCCTAAAGTGCTGGGATTACAGGTGTGAGCCACCGCGTCCAGCCCTTCTTTTTTTTAAATGAACTTGACGGTTTTAAGGAGTACTGGTCATACATGTTGTAGAATGTCCTTCAACTGGGATTTGTCTGATGTTTTTCTCATGATTAGACTGGGGTTTGGGGTTTGGGGTTTTGGGGAGGAAAACCACAGAGATAAAGTGCCATTTTCTTTTTAGTTTGTTTGTTTGTTTGAGATGGAGTCTCGCGTTATTGCCCGGGCTGGAGTGCAATGGCGCAATCTCGGCTCACGGCAACCTCTGCCTCCTGGGTTCAAGCGATTCTCCTGCCTCAGCCTCCTGAGTAGCTGGGATTGCAGGCACCTGCCACCATGCCTGGCTAATTTTCTGTATTTTTAGTAGAGATGGGGTTTCACCATGTTGGCCAGGCTTGTCTTGAACTCCTAACCTCGTGATCCACCCGCCTTGGCCTCCCAAAGTGCTGGGATTATAGGCGTGAGCCACCGTGCCCGGCCTTTCCTCCGCTTTCCGTACTATACTCTTTAGTAGGAAGTCACTCTATGCAACTCCTGCCTCAGCGGTAGGGAGTTATGCCCCACCTCCTCCATGATAAATGTCAGTATATCATCTAGAGTTCCACTGTACAAGAGAGTTGCCTATTCGTCCTCATTTATTTGTTTAGGCAATCACTTATTTATGGCAGTGGGGTCTCATGGATATTTATTTTTTATACTTTGGGTTATAATCTGTATTAGGCTCTTCATTCTGTAGTATAAATTGCTCCAGCTTTGGCCATTGGGAGCTTCTGTAGTTGGCTTCTGTGTCCATAGACATATCCCCACCATTTTGTTCTTTGAGCTCTTTCGTACTTTCTGGCACTAGAAGATGCTCCAGGTTCATATTGGATATTTCCTGACCCAGGCTTAGAATCAGCCATTTCTTCTGGTACAAGTTTATTTACTAAAAAAAAAAAAAAAAAAAAAAAAAAAACAACAAAACCATCAGGGCCGGGCAGTGTGGCTCACACCTGTAATCCTAGCACTTTGGGAGGCCGAGGCGGGAAGATCATGAGGTCAAGAGATTGAACCAGCCTGGCCAACATGGTGAAACCCTGTCTCTACCAAAAATACAAAAATTAGCTGGGTGTGGTGGTGGGCGCCTGTAATCCCAGCTACTCGGGAGGCTGAGGCAGGAGAATCGCTGGAACCCAGGAGGCGGAGGTTGAGGTAAGCCGAGATCACGCCACTGCACTGCAGCCTGATGACGAGCGAGACCCCATCTCAAAAAATAAAAAAAGAAATCAGGCATTTCTCCAGGGAGGCTGGTTCCTTTGCAATGGGGAATGGTATTAGAAACGAGGGTCCTCTCTACTGGGGAATGGTATTAGAAAGCAGGGTCCTCCGCACTGGCGAATGGTATGAGAAACCAGGGTCCTCTGTTCTGGGGAATCGTATTAGAAAGCAGGGTCCTCTGCACTGGCGAATGGTATGAGAAACCAGGGTCCTCTCTACTGGGGAATGGTATTAGAAAGCAGGGTCCTCTGTACTGGGGAATGGTATTAGAAAGCAGGGTCCTCTGTTCTGGGGAATGGTATTAGAAAGCAGTGTCCTCTCTACTGGGGAATGGTATGAGAAACCAGGGTCCTCTGTTCTGGGGAATGGTATGAGAAACCAGGGTCCTCTGCTCTGGGGAATGGTATTAGAAACCGAGATCTGGACACTGGGTGTGTTCTCATTGCTACCTGGATATTGTTTCTGGGGCCTCTAAGTGGACAGAGCTGGGAAATATACATGTAAATACTAGTAGCTTTTTGTTGGATTCATTAGGATTCTCTCTATATAAAATCATATCATTTATAAGCAGAGATAGTTTCAATTCTTCCTTTCCAATCTGAATACCTTTTGTTTCTTTTTCTTTTATTTTTTTCTGAGATGGAGTTTCATTCGTGTTGCCCAGGCTGCAGTGCAATGGCACGATCTCAGCTCACTGCAGCCTCTGCCTCCTGGGTTCAAGGGATTCTCCTGCCTCAGCCTCCTTGGTAGCTGGAATTAGAGGCACCCACCACCACGACCCCCTAATTTTTTGCATTTTTAGTAGAGACAGGGTATCACTTTGTTGGCCAGGCTGGTCTCGAACTCCTGACTTGTTGATCCACCCGCCTCGGCCTCCCAAAGTGCTGGGATTACAGGCATGAGCCACCGCACCCAGCCTGTTTGTTTCTTTTTCTTGTCTAATTGCTTTGGCTAGAACCTCCTTCACAGTGTTGAACAGGTGAGAGTGGACATCTTTGTTTTGGTAGGGAGAAAGTCTTTCACTTTGTTAGCTGTAGGTTTTTTTGTATGTGCCCTTTATTGGATTGAGGTAGCTCCTTTTAGTTTGTTGAGTGTTTTTGTTGTTTTAGTGTTAATTTTTGTATTAGAGGCAGTGTCTTGCTACATTGTCTAGGCTGGACTTGAACTCATAGGCTCAAGTGCTCCTCCTGCCTCGGCCTTGAAAAGTGCTGGGATTATAGGTGTGAGCCACTGTCAGTATGAATTCAATCTCTTTACTTGCTGTAGGTCTATAGGTCTATTTAGATATTCTCCTTCTTCTTCTGTCTGTTTCAGAAATTTGTGTCTTTCAAGGAATGTGCCCATTTTATTTTATATAAGTTATCTAATTTGTTGGCATATGGTTATTCATGGTATTCTTTTATAATCTATTTTTATTTATTTATTTTTTGAGACAGGATCTCACTTTGTCACCCAGGCTGCAGTGCAGGGCACCGTCAGGGTTCACTGCAGCCTCAACCTCCAGGGCTCAAGCCATCCTCTTGCCTCTGCCTCCCTGAGTAGCTGGGACTACAGGCCTGTGCCACCACACCTGCCTAATTTTTGTATTTTTTGTAGAGATGGGGTTTTGTCATGTTGTCCAGGCTGATCTCAGATCTCCTGGACAACAGATCTCCTGGGCTCAAGCAATCTGCCTGCCTCAGCCTCCCAAAGTGCTGGGACTACAGGCATGAGCTACTGTACCTGGCCACCTTTTATTTATTTTTTTTTCTGTAAGGTATATAGTGATGTCCTCTTTAATTGCTGATTTTCATATATTGAACTTTTTTTCTTTTTTTGAGAGAGAGTCTTGCTCTGTCGCTAGGCTGGAGTGGAGTGGCACGATCTCAGCTCACTGCAACCTCCACCTCCTGGGTTCAAGTGATTGTCCTGGCTCAGCCTCCCGAGTAGCTGGGACTACAGGTGCCAACCACCACGTCCAGCTAATTTTTTTTCTATTTTTAGTAGAGATGGGTTTTCACCATGTTGGCCAGGATGGTCTCGATGTCCTAACCTCGTGATCCGCCTGCCTTGGCCTCCCAAAGTGCTGGGATTACAGGCGTGAGCCACCCTCCTGGCCACTTTTTCTCTTTTTAAAATGGTCAGTTTAGCAAAAGATTTGTCAGTTTTTTAAAAAATCGAGACAGGGTGTCACTCTGCCACTCAGGCTGGAGTGCAGTGGCTTGATCATTGGTCACTCCTCGGCTCAAGCAATCCTTCTTCAGCCTCCCAAGTAGCTAGGACTACAGGTTTCCACTATGCCTAATTTTTAAAAATTTTCGGCCGGGCGCGGTGGCTCACGCCTGTAATCCCAGCACTTTGGGAGGCCGAGGTGGGCGGATCACGAGGTCAGGAGATCAAGACCATCCTGGCTAACATGGTGAAACTCCATCTCTACTAAAAAACACACAAAAAATTAGCCGGGCGCGGTGGCGGGTGCCTGTAGTCCCAGCTACTCAGGAGGCTGAGGCAGGAGAATGGCGGGAACCCGGGAGGCAGAGGTTGCAGTGAGCCGAGATCGCGCCACTGCACTCCAGCCTGGGCACTCCAGCCTGGGCGACAGAGTGAGACTCCATCTCAAACAAACAAACAAACAAAAAAATTCATGTAGAGACTTGGGGGTCAGGAGTCTTGCTCTGTTGCCCAGGCTGGTGTCTAATTCCTGGCCTCAAGTGATCCTCCCACCCCAGCCTCCCAAAGTGCTGGGATTACAGGCGTGAGCGCCAGACTGTTTTGTCAGTTTTGTTGGTCTTTTCAAAAAGACAACTTCAGTTTTCTTGACTTTCTCTATACTTGTTGTGTTTTCTTTTTCAGACTTTTTTTTTTTTTTTTAGAGAGGGTCTCACTCTGTCACCGAGGATGGAGTGCAGTGGTGCGATCATAGCTCACTGCAGCCTTGACCTTCCGGGCTCAGGTGATCCTCCTACCTCAGCCTCCTCGGGAGCTGGGATTACAGGCACCTGCCACCACACCTGGCTAATTTTTGTATTTTTTGTAGACACAGGGTTTTGTCAAGTTACCCAAGCTGGTCTCGAACTAATAGGCTCAAGCAATCCTCCTGCCTTGGTCTCCCAAAGTGCTGGGAATACAGGCATAAACCACCATGTCTGGCCGACTTGCTTTGTAGTTTTTATATGTGTGTACTAACTGGTGCACACATATAAATATATATACATTAACTATCATGTATGTAACACACATACATGATTCTTGTATAATACATACACACACATAAACACATACATGATTATTAGCATATATATTTATATGTGTGTATATATATACACACAC
Organism: Homo sapiens; assembly: GCF_000001405.40. Lineage (NCBI taxonomy): Eukaryota > Metazoa > Chordata > Mammalia > Primates > Hominidae > Homo > Homo sapiens. The sequence continues at coordinate 196,100,487 of NC_000003.12, read as the reverse complement.
ACAGTTGTTAATGTATGTATATTTATATACACATTAATATAAGCAAGAGAGAATTGTGTGTGTGTGTGTGTGTGTGTGTGTGTGTGTGTAGACAACGGTGAGCTACCTGGCTCCCTGGCTTGCCATCCATTCAATCCCAGCACAATGTAGAGTGGTTTCACAGTTGTTAACCCATATCCCCATGGGAAACAATTTTGCTGTTAGAGTTCAGTGCTTATGTACAGTTCCTTTTATTTTTAGTCTTATAGTCTTCACTTATTTCCAAAGTCACTTAGACCAGCGCTTCCCTTCCATCCCCTTCAATACCCAGCACTTCCCTTCCTTCTCTTTCAATATCCAGAACTTCCCTTCCATCCCCTTCAACACCCAGCACTTCCCTTCCATCCCCTTCAACGCCCAGCACTTCCCTTCCATCCCCTTCAACGCCCAGCACTTCCCTTCCATCCCCTTCAACGCCCAGCACTTCCCTTCCATCCCCTTCAACGCCCAGCACGTCCCTTCCACCCCCAACGCCCAGCACTTCCCTTCCACCCCCTTCAACGCCCAGCACTTCCCTTCCATCCCCTTCAACGCCCAACACTTCCCTTCCCTCCCCTTCAACGCCCAGCACTTCCCTTCCCTCCCCTTCAACGCCCAGCACTTCCCTTCCCTCCCCTTCAACGCCCAGCACTTCCCTTCCATCCCCTTCAACGCTCAGCAATTCCCTTCCATCCCCTTCAATGCCCAGCACTTCCTTTCCATCCCCTTCAATGCCCAGCACTTCCCTTCCATCCCCTTCAATGCCCAGCACTTCCCTTCCCTCCCCTTCAATACCCAGTACTTCCCTTCCCTCCCCTTCAATGCCCAGCACTTCCTTTCCCTCCCCTTCAACGCCCAGTACTTCCCTTCCATCCCCTTCAACGCCCAGCAATTCCCTTCCATCCCCTTCAATGCCCAGCACTTCCCTTCCCTCCCCTTCAATACCCAGCACTTCCCTTCCCTCCCCTTCAATACCCAGCACTTCCCTTCCCTCCCCTTCAATACCCAGCACTTCCCTTCCATCCTCTTCAATACCCAGCACTTCCCTTCCATCCCCTTCAATGCCCAGCACTTCCTTTCCCTCCCCTTCAATACCCAGCATTTCCCTTCCTTTCCCTCCCCTTCAATACCCAGCACTTCCCTTCCCTCCCCTTCAATACCCAGCACTTCCCTTCCCTCCCCTTCAATACCCAGCACTTCCCTTCCCTCCCCTTCAATGCCCAGCACTTCCCTTCCCTCCCCTTCAACACCCAGCACTTCCCTTCCATCCCCTTCAACGCCCAGCACTTCCCTTCCCTCCCCTTCAACGCCCAGCACTTCCCTTCCCTCCCCTTCAACGCCCAGCACTTCCCTTCCCTCACCTTCAATACCCAGCACTTCCCTTCCCTCCCCTTCAACACCCAGCACTTCCCTTCCCTCCCCTTCAACACCCAGCACTTCCCTTCCCTCCCCTTCAACACCCAGCACTTCCCTTCCCTCCCCTTCAACGCCCAGCACTTCCCTTCCCTCCCCTTCAACGCCCAGCACTTCCCTTCCATCCCCTTCAACGCCCAGCACTTCCCTTCCATCCCCTTCAATGCCCAGCACTTCCCTTCCATCCCCTTCAACACCCAGCACTTCCCTTCCTTCCCCTTGGATGTTAGGTCATGTTTGTAGCATGGTGAGGTTCTTTATAACAGTTTGCATTCCATCCTGGGAACCCTCCCACTCCCGCTTTAACATTTGCATATATTAAGGTTGAAATTTGTGCTGTAGAGAAATTTGTGCTCTATGGGTTTTTGTTTGTTTGTTTTGTTTTGTTTTAGTGACAGGGTTTTGCTCTGTCACGGAGGCTGGAGTGCTGTGGGATGATCATAGCTCATGAACTCCTGGATTCAAGGGATCCTCCTGCTTCACCTTCCTGAGTAGCTGGGACTACAGGCGCGTGCCGCTCAGCCAGCTAAAGTTTTTTTTTTTTTTTTTTTTTTTTTTTTTGAGATGATGTCTCACTGTGTCGCCCAGGCTGGAGTGCAGAAGTGCCATCTTGGCTCACTGCAACTTCTGCCTCCTGGGTTCAAGTGATTCTCCTGCCTCAGCCTACTGAGTAGCTGGGATTACAGGTACCCACCACCATGCCCAGCTATTTTTTGTATTTTCAGTAGAGACGGGGTTTCACCATGTTGGCCAGGCTGGTCTCAAACTCCTGACCTCAAGTGATCCGCTGCCTTGGCCTCGCAAAGTGCTGGGATTACAGGCGTGAGCCACCACACCCAGCCAGTTCTATGGGTTTTGAAAAATGCAGTCTCATGTACCATACAGAAGAGTTTCGCTGCCCTAAAATATCATATATGGTTTACCTATTCAGCCTATACTTCATTCTCCAAGCCTCTGGCAACCACTGATGTATTTTAGGTCTCTATAATTTCACCTTTTCCAGAATGTCATATAAATAGAATCATTATAGTATACAGTCTTTTAAGACTGGTTTCTGGCTGGGCATGATGATTCACGCCTGAAACCCCAGCACTTTGGGAGGCCAAGGTGGGTGGATCACTGGAGCCCAGGAGTTTGAGACCAGCCCTAGCAACATAGAAAGATCCTGTCTCTACAAAAATTACAAAACAACTAGCCAGGGGTGGGGACGTGCTCTTGTAGTTCCAGCTGCAAGCTGAGGTAGGATGGCTGGAGCCTGGGATGTAGAGGCTGCGGTGAGCCATGGCCACTCCACTGCACTCCAGCCTGGGTGACAGAGTGAGACCCTATCTCAAAAAAAGAGAAAAGAACAAAAAGACTTATCAGGTAAAATGGCCCAGAATCTAAATTTATGGCCCTCTACTAATCTTGCTGTTTCTTGCTCTAATGGATTTATGGCCATGAGAAACTGCAGCGAAGTGAAGGTGTGCCTGGAAGGGAGAGATGGACTCTGATTAATTGTATCAGTCTCCTGGCAATAGCTAACCTTATATACATAAGCATTAAAACCAAATCCAAGGACATCCTGTTTTGGAACATTAAAGTGCTGTTGTCACAGAAAGGAAGGCAGTCCTTCCTCTCTAAATTTATAATGTCAATCATTCCTTTGAGAGTTTTCGCTGGCCCTATATATTTTGCACCTGTTCCCAATAATCCAGATGGTACTGTGGGGGCCAAAGTCCTTGGCTCCCTGAAGTTTCACTAAAAAATCAATTCACAGCTTGGCGCGGTGGCTCATCTCTGTAATCCCAGCACTTTGGGAGGCCGAGGCGGGTGGATCACTCGAAGTCAGGAGTTTGAGACCAGCCTGACCAAAACGGTGAAACCCCATCTCTACTAAAATTACAAAAATTAGTTGGGCGTGGTGGTGCACGCCTGTAATCCCAGCTACTCCAGAGGCTGAGGCAGGAGAATCACTTGAACCCAGGAGGCAGAGGTTGCAGTGAGCCACGATCATGCCACTGCACTCCAGCCTGGGCAACAAGAGCAAAACTCCGTCTCAAAAAAAAGGAGAAAAGAAAACTCCTGTTCTTCTCTAGCCCAGGCCCAGTCTGCAGGAGAGGTTTCAGAGCAGGGTTCGTGTGGACTGGCTGTTGAGCTGCGTCTTCCCAGGGGTTCAGGGGAGTCCACGACAGCTGTAGACTGTTCTTCCGGCTCACAGTTTCACAAACTCAGTTTCGTCAGTTCACCAGAGTCATCAGGTAATTCGCTACCCAAGGGCACAAAATCCCGATTCATGAGGCCTATTTATTAATTCGTGTGGGGTAAGAGAACTGCTGTGCAGGCCAAGTCTTCCTGCTGAGGTCTGGTGTCTTCTCAGGAGGGAAAATTGTTTCAAGATCAGGATTAGTGGATTGTTTGGCAGTTGTGCAGTGGCTGCAAAGTAGCTGAATGGTCTTAGGGACCGTTGCTGAAGCTGGGACAGCCCCAGGGATCGCCCTGGTCCACTGAAAAGCTTAGAATGCAAAAAATAGAATGCATTACAGCTACCTAAAAATAGCTGCCAAGCAGAAACCGCTTTCATGCCAGCTGGCCACACAGGGTGCCCTTTCTGTGGGGAGTGTTGTAGAAACAGCTAATAAAAACTTCTTCCTCTAAAGTCTACTCAAGGGTTGGTCTAAGACCAGCAGCAGCCTGGGTATCAGTTAGGAGCTTGTTAGAAACACCGTCTTGGACCCCCACCAGACCTTCTGAATCAGAATCTGCATTTTAACACGTCCCCTCCATGGGACTTATCTGCACATTAAAGTTTCTTTAAAAAAATATTTTCAAGGGCTGGGTATGGTGGCTCACACCTGTAATCCCAGCACTTTGGGAGGTTGAGGTAGGTGGATCACTTGAGGTAAGGAGTTAGAGATCAGCCTGGCCAACATGGTGAAACCCCTTCTCTACAAAAAATACAAAAATTAGCCGGGCGTGGTGGTGGGTGCCTGTAGTCCCAGCTACTCAGGAGGCTGAGGCAGGAGAATCACTGGAACCCGGGAGGTGGAGGTTGCAGTGAGCTGAGATTGCGCCACTGCACTCCAGCCTGGGCAACAAGAGTGAAACTTCGTCTCTTTCTCTCTCAAAAATAAATAAATAAATAATAAATGAAAATAAATAATATATGTATATGAATATATATATTTTTAAGAAACAAGGTCTCACTCTGTAGTCAAGGCTTAGCTGCAGTGGCACAATCATAGCTCAGAGTAGCCTTGGACTCCTGGGCTCAAGCAATCCTCCTGCCTTGGCCTCCAAAGTGCTGGGATTATAGATGTGACACTGCATGGAGCTCACATGAATGTTTAAGAAGCACTAGGCTAGGCTGGGTGTGGTGGCTCATGCCTGTAATCCTAGCACTTTGGGAGGCTGAGGTGATCATGAGGTCAGAAGTTCGAGACCAGCCTGTCCAACATGGTGAAACCCCGTCTCTACTAAAAATGCAAAAATTAGCCGGGTGTGGAGGCATGTGCCTGTAATCCCAGCTACTCGGGAGGCTGGGGCAGGAGAATTGCGTGAACCCAGGAGGCGGAGGTTGCACTGAGCAGAGATCACGCCACTGCACTCCAGCCTGGGAGACAGGGCAAGACTCCGTCTCAAAAAAAAAAAAAAAAAAAGAAGCGCTAGGCTAGAGTCTAGCCTCTATCTGGATCTCAAAACCAATCTAACCTTTATTCATCTTACTACCTGCAGGAAAACCTGCCTGTACCTTAATAAAGCCAAGGCTAGAGCCAGGCATGCTGGCTCTCACCTGTAATCCCAGCACTTTGGGAGGCCGAGGAGGCTGGAAGATCCTTTGAGCTTAGGAGTTCAAGAATAGCCTGGGCAATATAGTGAGACTTTGTCTCTACAAAAAAAAATTAAAAATTAGCCCAGCGTGGTGGCTCACGCTTGTAATCCCAGCACTTTGGGAGGCCAAGGCTGGAGGATCCCTTGATCTCAGGGGTTCAAAAATAGCCGGGGCAACACAGTGAGACTCCATCTCTACAAAAAAAAATTAAAATTTGACAGGTGTGATGGCACATGCCTGTAGTTCCAGCTACTTGGGAGGCTGAGGCAGGAGGATCGCTTGAGGTTACAGTGAGCTATGGTCATGTCACTGCATTCTGGCCTGTACAGCAGAGCTGTCTCAAAAAATACATAAATAAAATAAAGTCAAGGCTGGATTTCAGACCTTGACACAGAAGTGGTCTGCCTGGAATAGGGGGTTGGAGGGGACCTGGCTAGCAGGATTGGCTCACGGGCCCAGAACTGTCTCTCCCTTTGGAATTCTCTGCTCTCATTGCCTACTTGGGCTCGACCTTATCAGAGAAGCCTGCCCCCCTTCGTAGCATGTTGCTCAGGCTGGCCTCTGACTCCTGGGCTCAAATGATCCTCCTGCCTCAGCACCTCCAAGTAGCTGAGAGTATAAACATGTGCCAGGGTGCCCAGCTATGTTACTTCTGGGAAGCATTCTGGAAGATAGTTGTACCAGGCACACTGTACCTTATAACCTTGTCTTTATATATGGGGATCTTTTGCTTTGTGCTCCTGGCATCAAATTCAGCTATAAAGTTGACTCAAACCTTCCAAGGATGGGTATTGTTGTAAGGTCCTGGTCAGAGCCTGGCAGTACGTCAGCCTACCCTGAGTGCAGAGCTTCAACTACCCGCCTGCTACAACAGTGTTTTCATATTTCCATACCTGAGATATAGTAAAAAGTGGTTTTAATACAGAAACCTGGCCAGGCATGGTGGCTCACACCTGTAATCCCAGTACTTTGGGAGGCTAAGGAGGGAGGATTGCTTGAGCCCAGGAGTTTGAGACCAGCCTGGACAACATGGTGAGATCCCCATTGCTATATCTCTTAACATTTATTTAAAAAAAAAAAAAAAAAACAGAAATCACAGAGATCTGAAGTTAGGGTCTTGCTATTTAAAAGCTGTGCCACTTTCAGCCAATCCTTTTATATTCTTCACACTTCTACTTATTCATCTATAAAATAGGTATGATACCTGTTTCACAGAATTGTTGGGGGCCAAAGTAAGATGATACAAATATAAGTTCCCAGCTCAGTACCTGGACACCATAGGTGCTCAGCGAACGTTACCGCACTCTGACACCTGGGCACCCCAGCCCTGGGATACGGGTCTTCCTACCACTTAGGGGATTGTGTGAGATGAACCAAGGGAAGCCACTCCAGCTCTCACAAATGTAACCACTGTACAGCTGCCTCCTTGACCACATTTCCATGTATAAGAAATACAAGTTTTGGCAGGAACATTTTCCAAACCAAAGGAAAATTTGTCTACTGTGTATATTAAAGCTGAAGAAACCAAAAAGTTTCTGCCTATTTGGTATTTTTCCTGAATACTAGATTTGCTGACTTGGGATTTAGATGTAGACGTCTGTTTGCAAATGTTTTCTTCACACATTTGTTCATTTTTCCTATTTACATCATCAGTCATCCCCACTTCACAATGTTCTTTTCAAAGGCCTCTTTCTTAGTCATTTTTTTTAGGCAATGTTTGGCCATCTGGCGCACAGTTTATCAGAAGTATTATTGCTTAAGGTCCCAGCCATAGAGGAAGGGAAACTCAGACATAAGTGAGAGTTGCAAGCTCAGATGTCAAAAGAAGATACAAATAAGAGGCGGGGTACAGTGGCTGATGCTTGCAGTCCCAGCACTTTGGGAGGCCAGGGTGGGAGGATAGCCTGAGGCCAGGAGTTCAAGACCAGCCTGGTCGACATAGCAAGGTCCTGTCTCTACAAAAAAAGAAAGAAAGATAAAGATGCAAATAAGAAAAACCAAACTGACTAATTTATATTTTGGAAACAAAGTTTTTTTTTTTTTGAAGTATTTATTTATTTATTTTTGAGACAGGCTCTTACTCTGTTCCCAGTGTAGTGTAGTGGCATGGTTACGGTTCACTGCAGCCTCAAACTCTTGGGCTCAAGGGATCCTCCCGCCTCGGCCTCCCAAGTAGCTGGGACTTCAGGAGTGTACCACCATGCCTGGCATTTTTTTTTTTTTTTTGGTATTTTTTTGTAGAGACAGGGTTTTGCCATGCGGCCCAGAAACAATGTTTAATATATATACATTCATACGATAATTTTATCAATTCAATAACTCTCCTTATCAAAGGTAGGTACGCATTCTGGAAATTTAAGCAAATGAGCTAGCTTGCAGGGACAATATGAATGCACTGCATTTCTGTCAAATGGTACCCAGATTTCTGGAGCATCAGTTGTACTACAAACTCTTATTTTTAGAAGTATCTGGGATTCTAGCCAGGCGCGGTGGCTCACGCCTATAATCCCAGCACTTTGGGAGGCCGAGGCGGGTGGATCAGGTCAGGAGTTCGAGACCAGCCTGACCAACATGGTGAAACCTCGTCTTTACTAAAAATACAAAAATTAGCCGGGTGTGGTCGCACTTGCCTGTAATCTCAGCTACTCAGGAGGCTGAGGCAGGAGAATCGCTTGAACCCTGGTGTCAGAGGTTGCACTGAGCCGACATCACACCACTGCACTCCAGCCTCAGTGACACAGAGAGACTCCGTCTCAAAAAAAAAAAAATTAGCTGGGCGTGGTGGCGCATGGCTGTAATCCCAGCTACTTGGGAGGCTGAGGCAGGAGAATTGCTTGAACTCAGGAGGTGGAGGTTGCAGTGAGCTGAGATGGCGCTATTGCACCATCCAGGGCAAGAAGAGTGAAACTCCGTCTCAAAAAAAAAAAAAAAAAGGAAAGAAAAGAAAGAAATATCTGGGATTCCCCACATAGGAATATGAATCCAAATTTTGAAATTAACTTAAATCTGAAGTGAAAAAAAATAGATCCCTCAGATACTAGATCTTCTCAAATGGTTCCACCTAGATGGTCCCTGTACCTCTTGAATAGAAATTCTTCCCTGGGGAGGTGTCTGCAGAGCTGTGCGGGTGGTGCAGTCAGTCTGTGTCATGCCTGGGTTTGTAAGGAGGCAGTGTAGTGGAATTTTTTAGGGCCAGGTTAGAAGCTAGATGACCTAGGCTTGAATTCTTGCTGTCACTATTTATTAGCCATGTGACATGGGGCAAGTTACTTTACTTCTGTATTAAGCTAGTTTCCACACCTGAAAATGGGATTACCTCTTTATTTTTAAGAGTTTTTAATTTTTTTTAAGAATTTATTTTTAAGAATTGTTCTGAGGATTGCATGAGCTCATATGTTTAAAGGCGCTAGAATGGAGCACCTGGTAGATGTACAATAAACCTTGGCTATTTTTATTCAGCTCCAAGGCAAGGATGTTCCTAGCCAAATAGATCAGGCTCTTTTCCACCTCCAGCTGAATTAGACTGGTGATAAGCGGGGACAGATCCTCTTCATACGCTATAGTAGACTGTAACAGTACCTGGATATCACATTCTCCATGATAAAAGGAGCATAGAGGGTACTAGTACACGGCAAAACTAGATTTGGGGCCCAGGTCTTTCTGCTCCAAAGATTGATCTATTCCCTTGAACCCTGCTGAAAACTCAACAGAAGTTAACAATAGACAGTGGCTATTAAGGTAGTGAATATGGTGGCAGACAGATGGCCACCAAAAGCTGCAGCATCTACAACAGGGGAATGATGTTCCTGCCCCCTCTGGATTGGCCAAACTATACTTCCAAAAATGACCAGTGGGGCCTGGCGCGGTGGCTCATGCCTGTAATCCTAGCACTTTGGGAGGCCAAGGCGGGCAGGTCACCTGAGGTCAAGAGTTCGAGACCAGCAAACTTCCGTCTGTACTAACACAAAAATTAGCCCGGCGTGGTAGAAGGCGCCTGTAATCCCAGCTACTCGGGAGGCTGAGTTAGGAGAATCGCTTGAACCTGGGAGGCGGAGGTTGCAGTGAGCGGAGATCATGCCACTGCACTCCAGCCTGGGCGACAAAAGCGAAACTCCATCTCAAAACAAAAAAATAAAAAAAAAAACACACAAAAAAAACCACAAAGTGACCAGTGGGTGGGGAGACATGGAATCACGCCCTGTGGTAACCATTAGAAGAGATTTGGATATTTAGCTGGAGAAGACAGCTGTGAACAGGAGAGCAGTCTTCAAACAATAATTAATTTATAGGATGGGCGTGTTGGCTCACACCTGTAATCCCAACACTTTGGGAGGCTGAGGTAGGAGGACTGCTTGATCCCAGGAGTTTGAGACCAGCCTGAGCAACATAGCAAGACCCCATATCTATTTAAAAAAAATATATATATATATAAAATAATTAATATATAGAAGAGGGAGAGAGAATTTAGTTTAGTAGATCAAACTTTTGTTTTTCTTTTGAGACAGAGTCTCACGCTGTCGCCCAGGCTGGAGTGCAGTGGTGCGATCTCAGCTCACTGCAACATCCGCCTCCTGGGTTCAAGCAATTCTCCTGCCTCAGCCTCCTGAGTAGCTGGGATTACAGGTGTGCGCCACCATGCCTGGCTAATGTTTGTAGTTTTAGTAAAGATGGGGTTTCACCCTGTTGGCCAGGTTGGTCTTGAATGACCTCAGGTTATCTGCCCACCTTGGCCTCCCACAGTGCTGATATTATAGACGTGAGCCACCGCACCTGGCCCAGATAAAAACTTTCTGACAGTTCAAACTGCCCAGGTCTTTCTGCTTTGGGAAATTATAGATTTGCTCCCATTGGAGAGGTAAAGGAGACACTAGATAACCACCTGATGAGGTGAAGTAGAGGAATTTTGTTGAATTAATTCAACATACATTTTTTGAGCACCTACTATAGGTCAGAGACAGTACATTAGTTATATAGTTCCTTCTGAACTTGAAACTCTATTATGCAGTGAGTTCTATTTTGCCTCCGAATGGGACTAAATAGAACTTCATATCCTACTCAAAACTTCAACTTAGACCACTGTACTGGTTGGCATAAATGTCCTTGTAATCAATTTAAAAATTGTCTTTGGCTAGGCATGGTGGCTCACGCCTGTAATCCCAACACTTTGGAAGGCCAAGGTGGGTGCATCACTTGAGGTCAGGAGTTCGAGTCCAGCCTGGCCAACATGGTGAAACCCCATCTCTACTAAAAATACAAAAATTAGCTGGGTATGGTGGTGGGCACCTGTAATCTCAGCTACTCAGGAAGCTGAGGCAGGAAAATCACTTGAACCCGGAAGGTGGAGATTGCAGTGAGCTGAGATCGTGCCACTGCACTCCAGCCTGGGTGACAGAGCACAACCCCATCTCAAAAGAAAACAAACAAACAAACAAAAAAAAAACAAAATTAGTTATCTTTCACTGTCCTAAGTAACCTTTCCATTTGCTATAAAATGGGAGCAAACTCCTCCATATTAATCTGAATCTTGCCCCTATTCCATGTTCTCGTGGGTGACCTTCCGTTTGGCAATGGAGAAAGAAAAAATAATTGAGTCAGCAGGATAAGGACAGGAAACTGAGGGTGGAGAAAAAGAAATGCAAAATAAAATGGAAAATAGTATCAACCTCAAATCTATGAGTTGACAGTCCACCTGCCTTTTTTCTAGGTTGCATCCTCTTCCAAAGTGGCAGAGCTCCACATTTTTATTTTATGACTCTGGTCCTAAAGTGATTGCCCGAGGCTTAGGATTCCAAGGAAAATAAAATGGATCCGGCATGTTAAATAGGAGCTAGGGTCAGAGCTAAAGGTAGGTTAGAGTGATTTCTGTAGAAGCTGCTGTGAAGACCAGCCGTGTGACAGGCAGGGTGCTGCCCTCACTGACCGGAGTGTGTGCAGCTATTTGACAGCATTTGAAAAGACTTCAGGCCGGGCATGGTGGCTCAAGCCTGTAATCCTAGCACCTTGGGAGGCCGAGGCAGAAGGATCCCTTGAGCCCAGGAGTTTGAGACCAGCCTGGGCAACATAGGGAGACCCTCGTTCTACATATTTTATTTTAAGAAATTTAAAAAAGTAAAAATAGTGAAAACACTGGGTGTGGTGTCTCACGCCTGTAATCCCAGCACTTTGGGAGGCTGAGGCGGGTGGATCAATGGGGTCAGGAGTTCGAGACCAGCCCGGCCAACATGGTGAAACCCCATCTCTAATAAAAATACAAAAATTATCCAGGCGTGGTGGTGCGCCTGTAGTCCCAGCTACTCAGGAGGCTGAGGCAGGAGAATCACTTGAACCCAGGTGGCAGAGGTTGTGGTGAGCCGAGATTGCATCACTGCACTCCAGCCTGGGTGACAGAGTGAGACTCCATCTCAAAAAAAAAAAAAAGATTGAAAAGACTTTCTCTCTGCCTTCTAACTCAGCCTCCCAACTCATTAAAAACAAACAAACAAGCAAACAAACAAAAAAACCGTAACCAATATTTGCTGAAATGTAGGGCGGTAGAAAGTTGAAACAGCGACAAGCAGAAAGAACAGGGAGAAACCTTGGGAATTGAAATTTAACTTTGAGCATCATTTATCCTGTTCACTAAAAAGTCATTTATCCTGTTCACTAAAAAGTCTTGTGCTCTGAGAGAGGAAATGGCCTAGGACTATGCTTTTCAAAAATAGGTTACGGCCCATTGGGAAATCAATTGAATGGGTTAAAAATTAGCATTTTTACTATTAAATAGAATAGAAAATTCTGGAGGGCTTTCCACACCTCAAGGGTATTATTTCATGAAACTTTTACTTTGGGTTTCAAGGAAATATACACATATATACACACACATCCACGTGGGTATACTGAAGGAAATATACACGTGTATACACACGCATACACACACGCATACACATGGGTGTACTGAGTTGTGAAGTAAGATGGACATTTGTCCATGAAATGCAGTAAAAAACGTTTGAGAAATGCTGAACTAAGAGACTTCATCTGCTGTTTGGGCCACAGGTAGGACCCCAGAAAGAGCAAGTGGCAACTTTGTAACTCTATTACAAAGTTGGCAAATTAATGGTATTTTTGTGGGATTTTTTTTTTTGAGACAGTCTCACTCTGTTGCCCACGCTGGGTGCAGTAATGCAATCCCAGCTCACTACAGCCTCAGCCTCCCAAGCTCAAGCCATTCTCTCACCTCAGCCTCCAGATGCCCAGCTAATTTTTTGTACTATTGGTAGAGATGGGGTTTCGCCATGTTGTCCAGGCTGGTCTCGAACTCCTGCACTCAGGCCATCCATCTGCCTCGGCCTCCCAAAGTACTGCGGATTACAGACATGAGCCACGGTGACTGGCATTATATATTTATTATTATTATTATTGTTATTATTATTATTTGAGAAAGGGTCTTGCTCTGTTGCCCAGGCTGGGTGCAGCAATGCAATCTTGGCTCACTACAGCCTCAGCGTCCCAAGCTCAAGCTGTTCTCTCACCTCAGCCTCCAGATGCCCAGCTAATTTTTTGTATTTTTGGTAGAGATGGGGTTTTGCCATGTTGTCCAGGCTGGTCTCAAATGCCCGCACTCAGGCCATCCACCTGCCTCGGCCTCCCAAAGTACTGGGATTACAGACATGAGCCACAGTGACTGGCATTATATATTTATTCTTATTATTCTTATTATTTGACACAGGGTCTTGCTCTGTTGCCCAGGCTGGAGTGCAGTGGTGCAATCTCGGCTCACTACAGCCTCAGTGACTGGCATTATATATTTATTATTATTATTATTTGAGACAGGGTCTTGCTCTGTTGCCCAGGCTGGGTGCAGTGATGTAATCTCGGCTCACTACAGCCACAGTGACTGGCATTATATATTTATTATTATTATTATTATTATTATTATTAGTTGAGACAGGGTCTTGCTCTGTTGCCCAGGCTGGGTGCAGTGGTGCAATCACAGTTCATTGTAACCCTGAACTCCTGGGCTCCAGCCATCCTCCCACTTCAGCCCCCAGAGTAGCTGGGACTACAGGCAGCACCACCACACCTGGCAATTTTTAAGTTTTTTTTGTAGAGATAGGGGGTCTCACTGTGTTGCACAGGCTGGTCTTGAACTCCCGGCCTCAAGCAATCGATCCTCCTGCCTTGGCCTCTTGAGTGCTGGGATTAGAGGCATGAGCCACCGCACTAGGCCTGGCCTTTAAATATAAGTTCTTATAAATATACATTATGCTTCCCCAGCTACATTGTTTGCCTTTTCAGGGGTACAGACTTGCTTCTTACCTCTTTACACGTCCTTTTCCAGCACATAACAGTACTCGATAAATAATGATGGCATTACCTTTCTGTATCCACTATTATCAATGACCAAGTCACTTTTTCTGGAGTAGGTGCATTCAAAAGCCGTTGAAGGGCCGGGCGCGGTGGCTCACGCCTGAAATCCCAGCACTGTGGGAGGCCGAGGCAGGCAGACCACGAGGTCAGGAGATCGAGACCACCCTGGCCAACATAGTGAAACCGCATCTCCACTAAAAATACAAAAATTAGCTGGGTGTGGTGGCAGGCACCTGTAATCCCAGCTACTCGGGACGCTGAGGCAGGAGAATCGCTTGAACCTGGGAGGCGGAGGTTGCAGTGAGCCGAGACTGCGCCATTGCACTCCAGCCTGGGTGACAGAGCGAGAAAAAAAAATTTTCCTTTTCTTTTTTTTTTTTTAAAGCTTCGACCCGTCACCACCACATTTATTCACTTAGACTGGGCTCTGCACTAGTAACACCTTAAATTTGTATAAACATGTAGTTTAATAAGTTTTCTTACTTTTTATTTCACTGGTAAATGAATGAAGGCAATAAAGGGATATTATTTCCACATGGCAGACAGGGAAAATGAAGTACAGAGCCATGACTGACGCCCATGTTTCCGCAGCACAGTGGGTGACAGTCCCACTGGGACAAGTTGCTAATTTCTAGGCGGGGGCTTTTTATTTTATTTTTGAGGCGGACTCACTTTGTCACCCAGACTGGAGTGCAGTGGCCCAGCCTCAGCTTACTGCAACCTCCGCCTCCCAGGTTCAAACGATTCTCCTGCCTCAGCCTCCTAAGTAGCTGAGATTATGGGCACACAAAACCACGCCTGGCTAATTTTTGTATTTTTAGTAGAGACAGTGTCTTGTCATGTTGGCCAGGCTGGTCTCGAACTCCTGACCTCAAGTGATCCTCCTGCCTCTGCCTCCCAAAGTGCTGGGATTACAGGCGTGAGCCTCCATGCCCTGCCAGCTGGGGCTCTTTCACTAGGTAAGTGGCTTATCTGGTTTGCTTTTCCTGCCAGTTCTCTCTCACCAAAAAGCAAGACTTCTGCTTTCATCTCTTGGTGAAGAAAAAAGAGAGGGAGGCAGAATTTTGCCGTTAATCATCCTGCACTGTTGTTTCCAGCAGTAATTCCCCTGAATTAGCTGTCAGACATCTCCTTAGGAATTTTAACACACACCACAGGCTCCTTCTCACTACAGAGCCTTCAGGTGGCCGGTTCTCCTCTGCTGAAATGCCTTCATCCTTCCTCTTCATGAGCCCACATCCATCCCAGTCTGCAGACATCTTCCACGTCACGTTCCTACCTGACCCCACTCCGCCCCACGAGGACTCTGATTCAACCATGCTGACCAACAGTGTATGATGTGCCAGTCATTGCTTTTAGGGTCTTCTAGACCCTAAAAGAGGTATTTTTGGAATGAGGTATTTTTATTCCCATTTTATTTTTTGAGAAGGAGTCTTGCTGTGTCTCTCAGCCTGGAGTGCAGTGGCACAATCTCAGCTCACTGCACCCTCTGCCTCCCGGGTTCAAGCGATTCTCCTGCCTCAGCCTACTGAGTAGCTGGGATTACAGGTGCCTGCCACCACACCCGGCTAATTTTCGTATTTTCAGTAGAGATGGGGTTTCACCACATTGGTTAGGCTGGTCTCGAACTCTTGACCTCAAATGATACGCCCGCCTCAGCCTCCCAAAGTGCTGAGATTAGACGTGTGAGCCACCGTGCCCAGCCTTTATTCCCATTTTAGAGCTGGTACAACCCAGGCTCAGGAAAGTTGAGAACTCCAGCTTCTTGGCCCTCCAGGCTTTGTGCTCTTTTCTTTTCCCCACAGCTCATGGTATCTTTTTCCTTGCCAACCTCCTTCCCTTTATGAAACTTCTCGTATTTCTGTGTACGATGCAGAAGAACTGCAAGAGTTTTAGTTCCAGGATGAGGTAAGCCTCATGGAATAGTTTGTGGAGGGTTGGAAATTAAATAATTTCCAATAATAATTTCGAATAATTTGGCCAGGCTCGGTGGCTCACGCCTGTAATCCCAGCACTTTGGGAGGCCAAGGCAGGCAGATCATGAGGGCAGGAGTTCACGACCAGCCTGGCCAACATGGAGAAACCCCGTCTCTATTAAAAATACAAAAAATTAGCCATGCGTGGTGGCACGTGCCTGTAATCCCAGCTACTCGGGAGGCTGAGGCAGGAGAATCGCTTGAACCCAGGTGGAGGTTGCATTGAGCCGAGATGGCGCCACTGCACTCCAGCCTGGGTGACAGAGTAAGACTGTTTAAAAATAAATAAATAAATAGTAAAAGTGTTAATAAGTGGACTTTAATTGCAGTGTCTATTAATACTAATAACAGCATAAAAATAAAAATATAATTGATAGCCTCTTTAGTGTCACGTTTATGGTTTTATTTTAGTGAATATAAATTTTTGAGATTTGAATTTTCATGTCCAAATGGTCCTGGCCTCTAAATGTCTCCTAAACATATTTTTCTTTCTTTTCTTTTCTTTCTTTCTTTCTTTTTTTTTTTTTTTTTTGAGACAGAGTCTTGCTCTGCTGCCCAGGCTGAAGGGCAGTGGTGTGATCTCAGCTCACTGCAGCCACCCCCCTCCCGGGTTCAAACGATTCTCCTGCCTCAGCCTCTGGAGTAGCTGGGACTACAGGTGTGCGCCACCACGCCAGACTAAATTTTGTATTTTTAGTTGTGATGGGGTTTTATCATGCTGGCCAGGCTGGTCTTGAACTCCTGACCTCAGAAGATCCACCTGCCTCAGTCTCCCAAAGTGTTGGGATTACAGGGATTAGCCATCGCATCTGGCCACCTAAACCTATGTCCTCCATGAGGCTATAAGATTTTCACCTGCAAATACCAGCATTGTTTGTTTCTTTTTAAAAGATACTTCAGTCAAGGAAAGGCAGAAAGCCAGGCATGTTAGCTCATGCCTATAATCCCAGCACTTTGGGAGACCGGAGGCAGGAGGATTGTTTGAGCCCAGGAGTTCAAGACTAGTCTGGGCTACATAGCAAACCCTGCGTCAAATTAAAAATAAAAAATAAATAGGCTGGGCATGGTGGCTCATGCCTGTTATCCCAACATTTTAGGAGGCCAAGGTGGGCAGATCACCTGAGGTCAGGAATTCGAGACAAGCCTGGCCAACATGATAAAATCCCGTCACTCCTCAAAATACAAAAATTAGCCTGGCATGGTGGCACACACCTGTAGTCCCAGCTACTTGGGAGGCTGAGGCAGGAGAATCGCTTGAATCCGGAGGCAGAGGTTGCAGTGAGCCCGAGATCATGCCACTGTACTCCAGCCAGGGTGACAGAGCAAGACACTGTCTTAAAAGTAAAAATAATAAAAATAAATAAAATTAATAATTAAAGAAATAAAGAAGGAACACCACAGGGGAGCAGGCCTGGTGTCTGAATGTTAAGGTAGGCCCTCTGTGGATGTGCATCCTTAACCTTTTCCTGATTAGATCATTAAAGGTGCAGCAATGCTCCTGCTCATATGACTTTTTTTTTTTTTTGAGATGGAATCTTGCTCTGTCGCCCAGGTTGGAGTGCAATGGCGCGATCTTGGCTCACTGCAACCTCCGCCTCTTGGGTTCAAGCGATTCTTCTGCCTCAGCCTCCTGAGTAGCTGGGATTACAGGCGCGTGCCACTATGCCTGGCTAATTTTTTTTGAAATTTTTTTAGTAGAGATGGGGTTTCACCATATTGGTCAGGCTGGTCTCGAACTCCAGACCTCGTGATCCGCTCACCTCGGCCTCCCAAAGTGTTAGGATTGCAGGCGTGAGCCACCGCGCCTGGCAACTCATATGACTTTTAAACACTTCTCTTTGGGGAGAGAGATTTTAGAGAATGGGAGTAAAGAGAAAGGCGGTGAGAATCCCAAGTACTTTCTCTATCTTAGAGCAGAAGAAATAAAGGGAAGAGTAAAAGCCCAAGGCCCAGAAACGGATTTGCTTCTTAAAGGGCTGTTCTGTGTCCCTACGGGCCTGAAGGTCAGTTTATGTGCAATGCTTTTTAAGGTATGGGTTGCTTTCTTGCATTGTAGCTACTACCTCCCTGGCCTGCTGGTTACTGACCAGAGGGAGGGAGAGGGTGTGATTGTTTGGAAAGAGTTTAAACAGTGACAAGAATTGAATTTTATTTATTTGTTATTCATTGCACAATCCAATAACAGCGATGGCAATGAAAACGAAAGTTAATCTACAATCCTATCACCCTATTAAGTCACTTGTTTCTATTTTCCCTTTTATTCCCTCATGCATTAAACATTACGCAAAGCACTCCGCTAGTCTTGGTTAAAGTGCAGCTTGTATACATTCTGAATAAAAATTTGCATTTTGCTTTTCTTTTCCTTTTTGTATTTCTGAGGCTGCAAAATACATCTTCACAAGAGTGGCTTTAATAGTTACCTAACATTCCATCCTGCACGTACATTTCAAGGCACTGCCGCAGTGCAATATCCAACATTTAAGCGTCAACGCCAACAGATTGGACCTAGCACTGCAGGGACTGGAGGTTGGTCAAGGTCAGGCGGAGGCTGCCAGGCTACCAGGGTGGAGGAAGGCGCCGAGGCAGAGGCCAGTGCGCCCATCGCGCGGCTCCTCGGGGCACCTGCTGCCTTGGCGCCTTTTCCCTTGGCCTTCGCCTCGCCCGCAGCGCCCTCCGCATAGGGCCCCGCCCGCTGCGCGCGCATCCCCGCCCCCCGGGCGATCTGTCAGAGCACCTCGCGAGCGTACGTGCCTCAGGAAGTGACGCACAGCCCCCCTGGGGGCCGGGGGCGGGGCCAGGCTATAAACCGCCGGTTAGGGGCCGCCATCCCCTCAGAGCGTCGGGATATCGGGTGGCGGCTCGGGACGGAGGACGCGCTAGTGTGAGTGCGGGCTTCTAGAACTACACCGACCCTCGTGTCCTCCCTTCATCCTGCGGGGCTGGCTGGAGCGGCCGCTCCGGTGCTGTCCAGCAGCCATAGGGAGCCGCACGGGGAGCGGGAAAGCGGTCGCGGCCCCAGGCGGGGCGGCCGGGATGGAGCGGGGCCGCGAGCCTGTGGGGAAGGGGCTGTGGCGGCGCCTCGAGCGGCTGCAGGTACACGGGGTCGGCGGCTGTGCGCAGAGGCGTCCCTGCGCCTCTCGTCCCTTCGCCTCTCGTCCCTTCCCTTCTCTCTGCCTTCTTGCCCGCCTCCTCGGTCACAGAGCGACGAATGACGAGACCAGGTGTACCCCCACTGTCGCTCTCAGCCCCGGGGACTTCGGGTCCTCGCCCTTGAAGGCCGCAGGCCCTAGTGCGCCGGCTCCGGGCTGCGGGTCCGGGAGCGCGGGCGCAGCCAAGGTGCAGCTGCGCGGCGTGCGGCGCCGGGGGAACACGTGGCTGCTCCAGGAAGTCGCCCCAGGGAACGGCTGGGATTCGTGGGTGACCTTGGGCTCCTAAACCTTCGGTTCCCCGGGCTCCGGGCGGGCCCCGTTCTCACTGCGGAAAGGGACAAAGCTGTCCCCGATTCGGTTACTAGCGTGTTACAGGCATTAATTAGATACGGGTTTCTGTAAACTTACCCTTCGGCTCTGGTACAACCTGATCTTGCCATGCTCTGCCTGTTCGCCTTGTGTGTGGATTCTGTTTTCTCAAGGCAGAATCCGACTGAACGCCGCAGGTGTTCACATTAAGAATATTGCTAGCAGTTCTCACTACAAGACGGGAGCCATAGGAGTGACTTATTTGTGAAAGATACTTGGAGATTAGCGGTGTGGTCAGAGGGCTGTGCTGGATTGATGGGCGCCGGAGAGGCCGATTGTGTCACATTCTGCTGGACAGTTCTTTTAAGGTTGGGAGGGTGGGTAAGAAAATACATTCTGATTCGGCTCTTTTCGGATAACGCTTTCCCTCTGCTTACTGCTTGTAGAGACCTCACTTACCCGGGGGACTGGATTCTGCAGCTTTTTCCATTTTCTTCCCCGTTGATAAGAGGATTAAAGTAGGAAATTGTATTTGGCTACCCCATGCTTATATGCTAAGCTTACTGTGAAAATTAAGGTTAGGCTGTCTAGAGTACTTGTGGACCCTGCTGGTTCCCCCCGCCCCCCGGCCCTGAATTTTGGGTTACAATATGCTTCTCAAGAAAACTCAGAGTTAAGATAATTTTTGTCATCGATTTTGCAAGGTTATATATAGCATAGCATCCTTCAATTTCCTTTGGATGTTCTTATCAAGTAATGGTGGCTGTAAACCTAGCCTGTGTTGAAGATTGTTAGATAGACAGCAGTTTGGCTAACTCCGCCCTAAGGCGAGGCAGTTACTTGCCTCTGATAATGTATTTAAATGTCATGGAGCAAGATTCCCAGCTAAACCTGAATCGATCACAATGCTAGTTAAAAATGACCCTCGGCTGGGCGCATTGGCTCCCGCCTGTAATCCCAGCACTTTGGGAGGCCAAGGCAGGCGGATCACCTAAGGTCAGGAGTTCGAGTCCAGTCTGACTAACATGGTGAAATCCTGTCTCTACTAAAAACACAAAAATTAGCCGGGCATGGTGGCTCACGTCTGTAATTCCAGCACTTTGGGAGGCCGAGGCAGGTGGATCACTTGTGGTGAGGAGTTCGAGACTAGCCTGGCCAACATGGTGAAACCCCGTCTCTACGAAAAATACAAAAATTAGCTGGGCATGGTGGTGCACACCTGTAATCCCAGCCACTCAGGAGGCTGAGGCTCGAGAGTCGCTTTAACCTGGGAGGCAGAGGTTGTAGTGAGCTGAGATCGTGCTACTGCACTCCAGCCTGCGCGACAGCGAGATGCCATCTCAAAAACAACAACAAAAAAACTCCCTACTAAACCAGAAGAGTGATGGGGACGGGAAAAGATTCCTGGTCCAATGTTTTCATTATATTTTTCATATCATTTGGAATCTCATGCATCAGGCATGCCCCAGTACTGTTAAAGACAATATTTTTACTCATTATCAGGTAGTTCAATACCAGTTATTACAGGATAGGGAAGTCAGTCAGAGAAGGCTTCATAGAGATGAAGCCTTGAGCTGAGCCTGGAAGAAATGAGGAGGACCTCAAGGAACAGAGAAGAATGTTGGTGGGTAAAAACAGGGGCTGGATTCTGTCTGATTTTGGAGAAAATAGAGGGTAGTGAAGTTGTTAGGCAGTGAATGTGTTCCATTTCATGGTTCAAAACGTGGGGCTACGTTTTGCCTACCTGAGCTTCATTATTAATGTGAGAAATTGAATTGTTGTTTTCAGTCACCATTGAGAACACCAAAGATAACACAAGTAGCTTAGATTATTATTTATTTATTTATTTTTGACAGAGTTTCACGCTTGTTGCCCAGGCTGTAGTGCAATGGTGTGATCTCGGCTCCCTGCAACCTCCACCTCCCCCAGGTTCAAGTGATTCTCCTGCCTCAGCCTCCCCAGTAGCTGGGATTACAGGCATGCGCCACCATGCCCGGCTAATTTTGTATTTTTTTGGTAGAGATGGGATTTCTCCATGTTTGGTCAGGCTAGTCTCAAACTCTCAACCTCAGGTGATCTGCTCGCCTCGGCCTCCCAAAGTGTTGCTGGGATTACAGGCGTGAGCCACCATGCCCGGCCATCGCTTTGTGTTCTTAAAATTAATTTAAAACAAGAAAACTTGAGGAATGATGGTTCAGATGAGTGTTAAAACTTGCAAGATGTTTTTTCCTAGAAAAGGATGATTAAAATTGGTTCAGGGTGGGGCCTTCCAGTTCTGGCTCTAATGATTGGGTCCTTACTGTTCTGGTGGAGTGGTAGTGATAAGCTTTTTGTAACAGAAGGGGCAAAAGATTGTGCTTCTGGCTGGGCGCAGTGGCTCACGCCTTCGATTTCCTTGGGATGTTCTTATCAAGTAACTAATCTTAGCACTTTGGGAGGCCAGGTGGGTGGATCACCCTAGGTCAGAAGTTCCAGACCAGCCTGGCCAACGTGGTAAAATCCCGTCTCTACTAAAAATACAAAAATTAGCTGGGCATGGTGGTGGGCACCTGTAATCCCAGCTACTCGGAGTCTGAGGTGGGAAAATGGCTTGAACCCGGGAGGGGGAGGTTGCAGTGAGCCGAGATCCTGCCATTGCACTCCAGCCTAGGCAACAAGACCGAAACTCTGTCTCAAGAAAAAAAAAAAGATTATGCTTCTAAGAATATGGTCTATTGCATATGGACACTGGTTTTTAAAGCTTGAATTTAAAAAGAATTTTTTGTAATAGGTTTTAGAGCTTTTTCTTTTTCTTTTTTATTATTTTTTTGAGATGGAGTTTCACTCCGTCACCCAGGCTGGAGTGCAGTGGTGCCATCTCGGCTCACTGCAACCTCCACCTCCCGGGTTCAAGCGATTCTCCTGCCTCAGCCTCCCCAGTAGCTGGGATTACAGGTGCCCACCACCACGCCCATCTAATTTTTGTATTTTTAGTAGAGATGGGGTTTCACCACCTTGGCCAGGCTGGTCTCAAACTCCTGACCTCGTGATCCACCTGCCTCGGCCTCCCAAAGTGTTGGGATTACAGGCATGAGCCACCGTGCCTGGCCAGAAAGCTTTTTCTTAATGCCAGTTATAATACCCTTTGCTTTACAATTTGCGTATACCTCACAGCTTGCTTTGTGCCGTGTGTGTTTAATATGCCCTAAGTGTACTCGTATATAGGAAAAGCTTTAAAATGGTATCCAATAAATGTCCATTTTGCAAATCTCAGGATAATGTCATTTTCAAGTATCTAGATGCCCTCAAACCAAATTAACTGGAAAATTCAGATTTCAGTTAAGGCCTTTAACTTAACTTAGGACTTTGATTACAGAGATGTATTTTGCTTTGACAAAAGTTAAGGTTAATGTCTTAAATTTCCAGAGATGATAACACAATTTCTATAACCCAGTAACCCATTTAACTTCGCTTAGATTATCAATTTTCAGCCTTGAACAGGCCACTTAGTTTCTCTAATAACTGGCCTCTTCATCTGTAAAACAGCGTAATCTGTGTTTCATGTTTCTTCTTGTGTCAAAGATCGAATCACTTGTAGGAACTATTCATTCAGTCAGGATCAGTATTTCTTCCCCTTCCCATTGGAGATGGTTTGTGGTATTTGTAGCATAACTGGTCTTGTCTGCCTTAGTCTTAATTTTGTCTTTTTGTATGTGTCACTTTCTTTTTTTTTTGAGACAGAGTTTTGCTCTTGTTTTCCAGGCTGGAGTGCAGTGGCGCGATCTTGGCTCACTGCAAGCTCCACCTCCTGGGTTCACGCCATTCTCCTGCCTCAGGCTCCCGAGTGGCTGGGATTACAGGCGCCCACCACCACGTCCGGCTAATTTTTGTATTTTTAGTAGAGACAGGGTTTCTCCATGTTGGCCAGGCTGGTCTTGAACTCCTGACCTCAGGTGATCCACCCATCTCAGCCTCCCAAAGTGCTAGGATTACAGGTGTGAGCCACCCCGCCCAGCAGTATGTGTCACTTTTGTCTACTCAGAACATAGTGGTTCGTACTTATAATTGCAGCACTTTGGGAGGCCAAGGTGGGAGGATTGTTTGAGGCCAGGAGTTCAAGACCAGCCTGGGCAACATAGGGTGACCTTGTCTCTACAAAAAGAAAAAAAAAGAATTATGTATATAACAAACTTTAAAAAGGATCCCACTTAATTTAGTTGTCATGTAAACTATGGTTAAATACCTTTTCTAGAAAAGTGATAATGTATTTTAAAAATTTAATGTATCATTTAGCCTGGTAATAGAAAGCTCACTAATCTGATACAGTAGTATCTTTCTCAATAATTCTCTATTCTGATACCTAGGTTCTTCTGTGTGGCAGTTCAGAATGATGGATCAAGCTAGATCAGCATTCTCTAACTTGGTAAGATATTTTCAGTTGTATTTCTGTGTCTGCAAGAATGTGAAATATACAAGCATGACTTTAACTGAGTAAGCATGAAATAATAACCCCAATCTATTATCAGGTATTCATTTACATTTGAATTGGTAGTCTTGAGGCATAACTGATCTCACAAAGAGTTCAGCCTTCAGTAGGGTTAATTATGGAAAGTCTTGGAAGAATTCTCAGAGTGGTTCTGGGTGTGGTAGACGGGGACAGCTTAGTAGATAAGACGAATTAAAGCCCTGATCAAAATGTTTTAGTAGGAGAAGTAAAAAGCAAAGGCTTGCGGGGCGCTGTGGCTCACGCCTGTAATCCCAGCACTTTGGGAGGCTGAGGTGGGTGGATCACCTGTGGTCAGGAGTTCAAGACCAGCCTGACCAACATGGTGAAACTCGGTCTCTACTAAAAATACAAAAAAAAAAAAAATTAGCTGAGTGTCATGGCGCATGCCTGTAGTCCCAGCTACTTGGGAGGCTGAGGCAGGAGAATTGCTTGAACCCGGGAGGCGGAGGTTGCAATGAGCTGAGATCACGCCATTGCACTCCAGCCTGGGCAACAGAGTGAGACTCCGTCTCAAAAAAAAAAAAAAAAGCAAAGGCTGAATGAGGCCAAGTGTGGTGGCTCACTCCCGCAATCCCAGCAGTTTGGGAGGTGAGGCAGGAGGATCACTTGAGGAGTTTGAGACTTGCCTGGGCAACATAGCAAGCCCATCTCTATTAAAAAAAAAATGAAATTTTAAGAAACATTGAGTAGACAGTATGAGTGAAAGCTGAAAGAACATACAAAAAAAACAGCCATCCAGGCCATGACGAGAAGGAGCCTAACTCTTAACACTCTGTCTAGACCTCAATTCTCTCTTATTTGTATTTATTTATTTATTTATTTTTATTTTATTTTTTGAGATGGAGTCTCAGCCTGGGCTCTGTTGCCCAGGTTGGAATGCAGTGTGCAATCTTAGCTCACTGTAACCTCCGCCTCCTGAGTTCAAGCGATTCTCCTGCCTCAGCCTCCTGGGTGGCTGAGATTACAGGCGTGCGACACCATGCCCAGCTAGTGGTTTTTTTTTTTTTGAATTTTTAGTGAGAGGGGATTTCACCATGTTGGTCAGGCTTGTCTCAAACTTCTGACCATAAATGATCTGTGTGCCTCGGCCCCCCCCAGAGTGCTGGGATTACAGGCATGAGCCACTGTGTCTGGTCTATTCTCTCTTTTCTGTCTTCTATCTTATGCTTAGTCAGAATTTCTGCTTATTTATAACTTTGTTTTATTCTTGCTCCCTTGCTCCCACCAACATCATGGTCTGGGTTACTGCATAGTATCCTGAACTGATTTGTGCCCCTAGTCCCAGCTACTCAGGAGGCTGAGGTGGGGGAATCAGTAGAGCCCAGGATTTTGAGGCTGCAGTGAGCTGTGATCACACCACTGTACTCCATCCTGGGAGAGAGAGGGAGACCTTGTCTCAAAAAAAAAAAAAAATTTACAAAAAGGGAGAGACTGACTGAGAAGACCAGTGTGAACTAGCCCTTGACTGGGCCCAGGGAAGAATGTTGGTTTGAAAGGAGAACACCCTAAGGAATATATAGCAAGTTATAGTAATGGCCCAATAACAAGCATATACCTAAACGAGCTTTTCCTAAACATTCCCGTGCCTGTTCTTCATCATGCCTTTTTCCGCAACACAGTTTGGTGGAGAACCATTGTCATATACCCGGTTCAGCCTGGCTCGGCAAGTAGATGGCGATAACAGTCATGTGGAGATGAAACTTGCTGTAGATGAAGAAGAAAATGCTGACAATAACACAAAGGCCAATGTCACAAAACCAAAAAGGTGTAGTGGAAGTATCTGCTATGGGACTATTGCTGTGATCGTCTTTTTCTTGATTGGTGAGAATGACCATTCCAAACTTCAATGTTTTCTATAACCAACTCTGGGAAGTCTGTTATGTCAGCTCAGCATATAGTTATTTTGTACCTTATTTTTTTTTTTTTTTTTTTTGGAGACAGAGGCTTACTCTCTTGCCTAGGCTAGAGTGCAGTGGCACCATGTTGGCTCACTGCAACCTCAGCCTCCCAGGTTTAAGCGATTCTCTGCCTTAGCCTCCTGAGTAGCTGGGACTATAGGCGCCCACGACCACACCTGGCTAATTTTTTTTTTTTTTTTTTTGAGTTGGAGTCTCACTCTGTGGCTCAGGCTGGAGTGCAGTGGCGTGATTTCGGCTCACTGCAATCTCCGCCTCCCAGGTTCAAGCGATTCTTCTGCCTCAGCCTCCTGAGGAGCTGGGACTACAGGCGTGCACCACCACACCTGGCTAATTTTTGTATTTTTAGTAGAGACGGGGTTTCACCATGTTGGTCAGGCTGGTCTCTAACTCCTGACCTCGTGATCTGCCCGCCTCAGCCTCCCAGAGTGCTGGGATTACAGGCATGAGCCACTTTCCCGTCCACTTTATGCCTTTTTAAGTGCCACTAGGAAGACAATCATGAGTAGATTCTATACCTGTCATTGAATTTAATCTGGTTGGAAAGAGAGACCCATGAATTATTTCAATACGACGTGCAAGTGTTTTCTTTTTATTTATGTATTTTTTTGTTTGCTCCCACTCCACCAGGAAGCAAATGCTACGCTAGAAAATATCCGCAGGACACTGGCGGTGCAGCAGCTCAGTCTCATGTTTCAAGGGGGTCTTTTGGAAAAAACTACCTATGTTTTGAATAGGTAGCTATTTGAAATAAAGCTAGTATATAATTTATTAAGTGGTTTAAAGTATACAAAACTGAGATGCATTATATACTTTAAAACTACTTAGAATTTGATGAAAACCAGTATTTTCAAGGCTTACCTGAAAATATTAACAGATTAACAGGGATAGATTACAAATGAAATTCTGAGTTCAGCTCTGGAACTTTGTCTCTTTAGGATTTATGATTGGCTACTTGGGCTATTGTAAAGGGGTAGAACCAAAAACTGAGTGTGAGAGACTGGCAGGAACCGAGTCTCCAGTGAGGGAGGAGCCAGGAGAGGACTTCCCTGCAGCACGTCGCTTATATTGGGATGACCTGAAGAGAAAGTTGTCGGAGAAACTGGACAGCACAGACTTCACCGGCACCATCAAGTGAGTGCCAGCTGCTGTGCAAGTATCTAGACAAGTAATTCAAGAATTATGATAGGCCACGGGGAAACAATAATGGTGACACTGTGGGGAATGGCTTGTTAGAGAAGACAAGACTTGTCATGTTTAGCTAAAGAGGGGAAGGGGCCTGTAAAAAACTGAAACTATACTGGTAGGGGAAAAGGTAGAACTTCTCTGGGGAGTCTCCTTTTTCTTAAAAAATTAATAGGCCCTTGATGTTTTCCCCATCTTTGTAGCTTATTGCTTGCTGTCATTCTCTGGCTCTGATTTTTCTTCTTAACCTCTTGTAACGTTGTACTAAGCTCTGCTTTGCTGACAAGGACATCAGTAGCTTTTCTCTGTTTTAGGAAGCAACACATGCCAGAAGTAGCCTTTTTCATCTCCTTGATCATGGGTAACTGCCTGCCTTAAGTCTCTAGTGCTTCTTAATTTCTGTGATACTCACCCATTAACCCCTAGGCCAGTCAGTATCCAGAGACAATGTCTCCCTCTGGTGGAGGCTGGAATACGGTGGCGTGCTCTCATCTCACCGCAGCTTCATCCCCCTACCATAGCCTCCTGAGTAGCTGGGACTATAAGCACGCAGCACCACACCCAGCTAATTTTTTTTTTTTTTTTTTTAAGAGATGGAGTCTCACCATGTCTCCCAGGCCGGTCTGTTCTTAGATTTTTATTTATTTACTTATTTATTTTGAGATGGAGTCTTACGTGTTGCCCAGGCTGGAGTGCAGTGGCACGATTTCAGCTCAGTGCAACCTCTGTCTCCCAGGTTTAAGCAATTCTCCTACCTCAGTCTCCTGAGTAGCTGAGATCACAGGCTTGTACCACCATGCTCTGCTAATTTTTGTGGGTTTTTTTTTTTTTTTTTTTTTTTTGCAGAAACGGGATTTCACCATGTTGGCCAGGCTGGTGTCTAACTCCTGACCTCAGATGATCCTCCTGTCTTGGCTCCCAAAGTGCTGGAATTACAGGATGAGGCACTGCACCTGGCCAAATTTCTATTTTATATTTATTTATTTATTTTATTTGTAATGGGCTTTCTGGCAAAAACTAGAAAGCATGCTAGACAAATTCTAAAAGAGCTGTAACACTTGTCCATAGAGTTTTACTATCTTTGCACATACATGCCTCTGTGCAAAGAATAAATTTATCTTTTCCTTTTTGCAAGCTTCCTACACTTACAGTGGTACTATAATTCTTTAGTCTTAAGTTATGGCATTTTCTACTTCATCTAGTTGATGCTTTTGTGTTTATTTACTGTACACCAGACCTTATGGTTAAAGTGAGAGTATAGTCCACCCCACAAAAATGTAAGAACTAATATGCTGAGTAAATAGAAAGAAGTATGGGAGATCGGACCAAGGAGCAGTTCTGCTTCAGGGTATTCAGATGCTTCACAAGTAGGTGAGAATTGAAACTATGCACTCTGTTCAGCACAGTATTACTATCTTAGATTTTATAGTAGATCTGGAAGCTACTCATTTCCCCTAAAACTATCCTAAGCAGATACATTGTGTTATGATGAGGCTCTTGAAGGAGTGCTTTGTAGTGGGTAAAGAAGCTTTGAAGTTACAAGATTTGGGGCAAAATTTTTTTTCTTTTGTGATATTCTGGTCAGTCTAGAAGTTTTGGGTCACAGTTCATTTATCTGAACTATGAGGGATAATATTTTGCTTTCAAAACAATTTGTTTAATCCTTGACTTAAATGTTTATTTTAAAGTAAACTTAAGTTCATTTAAAAGGCATTTTCTCCTCCAGGCTGCTGAATGAAAATTCATATGTCCCTCGTGAGGCTGGATCTCAAAAAGATGAAAATCTTGCGTTGTATGTTGAAAATCAATTTCGTGAATTTAAACTCAGCAAAGTCTGGCGTGATCAACATTTTGTTAAGATTCAGGTCAAAGACAGGTATGTTGAAAGATGGTAAACTTATTTTTATACAAGTAGCTATTTTCAGGTGTGCTAAATATAGCAAAGACTTTTTGTTAGTGTTGTTGGCTTTTTTTTGAAATGGAGTCTCGCTCTGTTGCCCAGGCTGGAGTGCAGTGGCACAATCTCTGCTCACTGCAGCCTTTGCCTTCTGGGTTCAAGTGATTCTCCTGCCTTAGCCTCCAGAGCAGCTGGGATTACAGGCGCACGCCACCACGCCCAGCTAATTTTTGTATTTTTAGTAGAGGTGGGATGGTCTCGAACTTTTGACCTCAGGTGATCAGCCCGCCTGGGCCTCCCAAAGTGCTGGGATTACAGGCGTGAGCCACCGCATGCGGCCCAAAGGCTTTTAAAATAAAAATCAAGCTTAAGATTTAGAGGTAAATTTCCTCAAGCCAAATAATGCAAGACATACTAAATGTAAGCTATTGTGTTTTTTGGAAGGATGACCTTAGGCTTATTTTAACTTAATCTTTTTAACAGCGCTCAAAACTCGGTGATCATAGTTGATAAGAACGGTAGACTTGTTTACCTGGTGGAGAATCCTGGGGGTTATGTGGCGTATAGTAAGGCTGCAACAGTTACTGTAAGTAAAGCAAAACAGTGCATGAGACTCTTCCCTATTGAATCATTCAAAACTCATCTTTTCTGTTCTTAGGAGTTATAAATTTACCTGTAAAATGTAAATGATCATGAGATATTTTGGTTTTCAACCCTCTAATGACACAGTCAACATGCATTGTCTTCTCTCTCTAATCACTTTCCCCATGTCCTGTTTTATTTTTTCTTTATAGTACTGCTAGCAGCTGACATTATCTATGCCTTTGTTTCCATTAGAATGTGAGCCAGATGAAGAATCATGGGTTAGTTCTATTTACTGCCATGTTGCAGAGCTTTGGAGAATGCCTGACATACATAGTAGTATTTGCTAAACAAATGCATATCCTCCCTGTGGGGACAGATGTAAATATCCATCTTGGCTGGGGCCTAGTCTTAGCTTGATTCGTTAATGCTTGATCTTTTTCTATTTTTGTTTTGAGACAGGGTGTCACTCTGTTGCCCTAGCTGGAGTGCAGTGGCGTGAGCTTGGCTCACTGCATTCTCCACCACCACCCAGGCTCAAGTGAGCCTCTTGAGTAGCTGAGATGTCCAGTTAATTTTTATTTTTTATTTTATTATTATTATTATTATTATTATTATTATTATTTGGTAGAGACAGGGTTTTGCCATGTTGGCCAGGCTGGTCTTCAATTGAAACTCCTGGGCTCAGGTGATTCACCACCCTCAGCCTCCCAAAGTGCTGGGATTACAGGAGGAAGCTGCTTCGCCCAGCCCTTGATCTTTTTAAATTTAGGCAAATATAGTCAAATTAACACAGAAATAGAGAACAGATAGATAGAATAATTTTCAGCTTAAAAATCACATTTGTGGCTGGGCGTGGTGGCTCACGCCTGTAATCCCAGCACTTTGGGAGTCCAAGGTGGGTGGATCACCTAAGGTCAGAGCTACCAGCCTGGCCAACATGGTGAACTCTATTAAAAATACAAAAATTAGCCAGGCGTGGTGGTGGGTGCCTGTAATCCCAGCTACTTGGGAGGCTGGGGCAGGAGAATCGCTTGAAGCCAGGAGGTGGAGGTTGCAGTGAGCGGATATTGCGCCATTGCACTCCAGCCTGAGCAACAAAAGCGAAATTCCATCTCAAAAAAAAAAAAAAAATCACATTTGTAAGTCAGGCGTATCTCTAGTGGATACCTTTCGGGGCTGGTGCAGTTCTGTGTTGATTCCTTGCCTTTCTGGATACTTGTGCTTTATCCCTTTGCCTGGCTGCCTATAAGCCAGGAGTTTAGAGATGGGTAGGTTGTTCTGTTAAAGAACATTGAAGATTTTTGTTCAACTTCAAGCTTTCTGTATTGAGGGCTTGGTTGTTAGTGTCAGTTTATGGCTGTTCATCTGGACTCTTATGAGCTTAGGAACATCATGACACATCTAAAGTTGGTGTATGCAAGTCACTTTGTTGTAATAGATGGTGTTTTAATTTTGGGACAGATTTATTATCAGACCTTTCAGTTAAAACCTATTTCTATGATGTCCTCAAGGCTAAGATTGTTCCAGGCCTCCAGTCCCATGACCAGCCTACATAGGCCTCTTTAATCTAAATGCCCTTCAGATGAAAGGCAGCATGGGATAAAAGCATGAAAGACATAGGAGGCCAAAAATCTTGATTTTATTCCAATAGCTCTGACCTAAAAGTTGTAAAGTTTTTTAGAACTCATGTCTTTTTTAGGCCTTGGCCTCCTTTTATCTCTTACTTGGGTTGCCTGTCTTAGGTTTGATCTATAACACTCTTCTGTCTCAAGATTTTAGAGCTGTTCCGATACCATAATGCTCATTAAATCTAATGTCTTTGTTCTAGGGTAAACTGGTCCATGCTAATTTTGGTACTAAAAAAGATTTTGAGGATTTATACACTCCTGTGAATGGATCTATAGTGATTGTCAGAGCAGGGAAAATCACCTTTGCAGAAAAGGTGAGTATGAGTTATTATAATATTAAATACAGTACTTTTGGTATCTTACTCTTCAGGTAAGTGATATTTCTTGTTAATATTCTTACATTCTGAAAATCAGCAATCTTAAACTCTCATACCAGATAATATAATTTATTAAAATGCTCAACAAATGAAGTAAGTTCCACTTACCTAATCAGAAGTGCTTAAGTGAAAGCTATTTCTCTGTATAACTCAGTTTTACGCATATACAGAATTCAGCTAAAAGCATGTTTTATAAAAAGGAAAATTAATAGCCAAACATACACAAGGAACTAGAGTGGAACATATCAAAAGACAGTGGTGATTTCTGCATTTTTAAAAAAAGTGGCAGGGCTCACACCTGTAATCCCAACACTTTAGGAGGCTGAGGTGGGAGGACTGCTTGAGCCCTGGAGGTTGTGAGATGTGACTCGTGCCACTCCAGCCTGAGTGACAGTGAGACTCAAAAAAGTGGTTGTCTTAGATGGGTTTTTGTTATTTTTCTTTTCTTTTTTTTTTTTTTTTTTGAGACGGAGTCTCTTGTCACCCTGGCTGGAGTGCAGTGGCGTGATCTCAGCTCACTGCAACCTCCGCCTCCCAGGTTCAAGTGATGCTCCTGCCTCAGCCTTCTGAGTAGCTGGGATTACAGGTGCCCACCACCACCATGCCTGGCTAATTTTTGCATTTTTAGTAGAGACAGGGTTTCACGACGTTGGCCTGGCTGGTCTTGAACTCCTGACGTCAGGTGATCCACCTGCCTTGGCCTCCCAGATTGCTGGGATTACAGGTGTGAGCCACCACTCCTGGCCTTTGTTATTCTTTTTTTTTTTTTTTTTTTTTTTTTGAGAGGGAGTTTTGCTCTTTTGTCCAGGCTGGAGTGCAGTGGCGCAATTTTGGCTCACTGCAACCTCTGCCTTATGGTTTCAAGCGATTCTCCTGCCTCAGCTTCCCAAATAGCTGGGAATACAGGCGCCAGCCACTGCGCCCAGTTAATTTTTGTATTTTTAGTAGAGACAGGGTTTCACCATGTTGGCCAGGCTGGTCTCGAACTCCTGAGCTTGTGATCCCCCTGCCTCAGCCTTGCAAGGTGTTGGGATTACAGGCGTGAGCCACCACTCCTGGCCCGTTACTCTTATTTTGCAAACAAGTGAGTTAATTTTTCAGGAAGCAATTAATAAATTACCAGATAAACAATTTGAAATATTTGGAAGTATTATAAGTTTAGTCCTCTGTAACCATTTGGCCTTTAGCATAATGTCCAGGATGTATTCTCATTTCGTATGATCAGATCTTCATTTTCTGAGCTTTATATGTTTTCTTTTAGGTTGCAAATGCTGAAAGCTTAAATGCAATTGGTGTGTTGATATACATGGACCAGACTAAATTTCCCATTGTTAACGCAGAACTTTCATTCTTTGGACATGTGAGTTATTTCTTGAGTAAATCACCGTTTTGAGTTCCTTGAGTTGTTCTTGGATTCCTGTATTAGCAGAAATAGCACTGTGTCTTCCTTAACTGCTCTTTTTTCTGGGAGGGCGTTAGCAGTAAGCAAGAAGATAGATTACATTGACTTTGAGGCTTTATTATTTGTTGCTAAAA
Source organism: Homo sapiens (assembly GCF_000001405.40). Taxonomy (NCBI): domain Eukaryota; kingdom Metazoa; phylum Chordata; class Mammalia; order Primates; family Hominidae; genus Homo; species Homo sapiens. The sequence continues at coordinate 196,067,855 of NC_000003.12, read as the reverse complement.
GTACTTTGTCAATAGTGCCTTGAATTTGAGAATTTCCATATGCCATGAAAACAGGAGTCACATTGTAGAGCCACTCAGATTTTTGAGGCTTCAAGTTGGTAAACTAAGGTTGGGCTGCAGCCTTATACCAAACCTGAATCTTACAGAGAAGTTTTGAGGAAGTATGTGATGGAGTGAATTGCTCTTTTGTTTTCCTAGGCTCATCTGGGGACAGGTGACCCTTACACACCTGGATTCCCTTCCTTCAATCACACTCAGTTTCCACCATCTCGGTCATCAGGATTGCCTAATATACCTGTCCAGACAATCTCCAGAGCTGCTGCAGAAAAGCTGTTTGGGTAAGTTTTTATTTGAAAGCGGTCTTGCATAGTGAGGTTTTATGATTAGGGAAGAACGGTAATATGTTGATTAAAATGTTAAACATGATGATAATTTTCCACATTTGGGAATTTGGAGGATGGTTAGCTGTTACCTTGGTACAGATATAAATGAATTTTTCTCTATAAAGAGATCTTAATAATGGACTTTGGACTTATAAACACAGGAGAATAAGGAGACTTATAAACCCAGTGAATTCCTTGTGCAAGATTCCTGGCATAGCTTCTGCTCAAGTACTTCTGTGCTGAAGCACGATGCCTATAGCAGCCCATTCAGTTAGTAGAGAGAATCTGTTAGAATTCATATTGGGATAAAATCCTATTCCCCGAAACATCCATTTGTCTGGATTTTTCTTCTAAGCAATACGGTATGATTCCAGTTACCTTGTCTATAGATTGAGAAGCCTTGCTTCTTATGATGGTTTCCAGAGAAACCATTTATGGTTGTGGCTCGCTCCTCTGGATATCCTCCCTGTAACGTTAGTGTCTCTCTTTAAAAACAGAGCCCAGTTCCATTAGAGTACGTAGCATTAATTTTGATTTGGATGTGGACATATTTATCATTTCCTGTTATTACAGGATGGAGATCTAGTTTCAGGCCTTTATGAAAGCATTTATCTCCTGTATGACATAGGTTCTCTGATCCTGTTTCTTTAACATAATTGGATAGTGAAAATATATTCTACTTGATAGTCTCAAATGAAGAACATCTGTATATAAGGAGTATATGAAATACCATGACTGTTGATCATGCTGAGAGGCCTTTAGCATAGGGGAGTGTGTAACATACCATGACTATTGATAACGCTAAGAGGCATTTAGCATAGGTGATTTTTTTGACTCATTCTACCTACCACCTACAAATCGTAACCAACCTGTGAAGCCAGCGTCCCATCTTATCCTTATGTAGTAGGGGAGTAATAATGTTTCAACCTATATTTATGTAAGTAAGCCCCCTTAGGAGCAGCTATTATTTGGGTAACACAGAGGAATTAGATAGGGGAAGCACAAGATTTTTTTTTTATTTTGACAGTCTCACTCTGTTGCCCAGGCAGGAGTGCAGTGGCATGATCCTGGCTCACTGCAACCTCCACCTCCTGGGTTCAAGGAATTCTGCCTCGGCCTTCCAAAGTGCTGGGATTACAGGCGTGAGCCACCGCACCCAGCTGAGGAATATTTTTTATAACTGAGCTAAGAATGTGTACTATCCTTGTTAGTGGTGACAGTTGGGAAACATAAAAGTGTATTAATATTCTTTTATATATTAGAAGAACTTCATTTTGAGTCCATCTTGGTATGTATTCCAAATATAAACTACGTAAGTATGTCTGGCAGAAAGGCGCATAGTTAGAGAAGTGTTTTAAAATATTGCTTAATTAATGGTTTCCAATTGGCTGCCTGCAGATCAAAGTAAGACGCAAATGGTTCACCACTAGAGAGTAAGTTTTTTTTTGTTTTTATTTTGTTTTGTTTTGTTTTGTTTTTTTTTGAGACAGGACTTGTGCTCTGTTGCCCAGGCTGGAGTGCAGTGGCGTGATCTCGGCTCACTGCAGCCTCCGCCTCCCAGGTTCAAGCGATTCTCCTCCTCATCCTCCTTAGTAGCTGGGATTACAGGCGCATGCCACCATGCCCAGTTAATTTTTGTATTTTTAGTAGAGTCGGGGTTTCACCATGTCGGTCAGGCTGGTCTTGAACTCCTGACCTTGTGATCCACCTGCCTCAGCCTCCCAAAGTGCTGGGATTACAGGGGTGAGCCACTTCGCCGGGCTGAGAGTAAGTTTTGTTTATATGTCCTCTTAATCTGTAACTTCACTGGACAGGAGTAAACCCTGGGCAAGGAACAATAACTCAGAACTTACGCCTGCTTTCTGATTCTAGGAATATGGAAGGAGACTGTCCCTCTGACTGGAAAACAGACTCTACATGTAGGATGGTAACCTCAGAAAGCAAGAATGTGAAGCTCACTGTGAGCAATGTGCTGAAAGAGATAAAAATTCTTAACATCTTTGGAGTTATTAAAGGCTTTGTAGAACCAGGTAAAGACCGCCCCCCCCCCCCCCCGCCCCGCTTTTTTTTTGTTTTCTTTTCTGTTCCTAAGGATGTGGCTAGAGAAGGAGCGAGTGTAGGAATGCTGGCTTGGCTTGGTTTTATGAAGTGCTCAATCTTGTCTGTCCTAAAGTTAATTGTTTATGTGTTAGTTTCTTTTTTTTTTTTTTGAGAAAGAGTTTCACTCTTGTTGCCCAGGCTGGAGTGCAGTGGTGTGATCTCGGCTCACTGCAATTTCCGCCTCCCAGGTTCAAGCCATTCTCCTGCCTCAGCCTCCCCAGTAGCTGGGATTACAGGCATGCGCCACCACGCCTGGCTAATTTTGTATTTTTAGTAGAGACAGGGTTTCTCCATGTTGGTCAGGCTCCATGAGGTCAGAGCTCCTGACCTCAGGTGATCTGCCTCCCTCAGCCTCCCAAAGTGCTGGGATTACAGGCATGAGCCACCGCGCCCAGCCTATGTGTCAGTTTTATTGGGAGGTAATAAGGCCCTAGGAAATTCTTGTTAAAAATTGACCATTATGACTAGAAAATCTATTCTAAGTTATTGACTAGACCAGTGATAAGCAAATTTCTTAAGGGGGCAGATAATAAACCTTTTGCCAGGCTATACAGTCTCTCTTTTAGCTGTTCAACTCTGTGGGAGCAAGAAAACAGGCACAGACTGTGCGTAGTGAATGGGCATGCGGGCTGTAGTTTGCCAGTCCCTGGAGTTAACTTTAAATGCAATCAAACAGCCAACACTTACTAAGAAATAAGTCCTTGGACTTAAGTAGTCAGTAAATTTAATTAGTAGTGTAGGAAAAAAGTAGCTCTACTAGTAAGGTAAAATTAATATTCTCATGTGAATTTTTAATTCCCAGAGTTTTTAGTCAGATTTGAAGTAAGGCTCTTTTATCCTTAATACATATACTGTGCTTTTACCTTTCTACTGATGTGCTAATTCTAGAAAAGTTTAGAAGCTGATTATATAAGTTCTTTCTTCCTCTTTTTTCTTTTTTAAAGATCACTATGTTGTAGTTGGGGCCCAGAGAGATGCATGGGGCCCTGGAGCTGCAAAATCCGGTGTAGGCACAGCTCTCCTATTGAAACTTGCCCAGATGTTCTCAGATATGGTCTTAAAAGGTAGAGTACAAATTTTGATTCTTTTGAATATTGGTGCACTGCATACAGTTCTAGATGTTATACTGTGCTTTGCTCACTTTGCCTGCATTCCTGTGGTTCTCATGCTAGACTCTAGTTCTTAAATACAAGGCAGATTGTCTTTTGTTGTAGCTGCCTTTTCCTTTGAAACAGCTTTCCATAAAGTGTCTTAACTGTGCTAGAAATCACCAGTTTCTTTGAGACAGTGGAGTTACTGAGCCCTAGTGCTTAGTGTGGTGGATCCAGAGTGATAAGGTGGATCATAGTCCCTAAGCAATCTATTTGAAAGCAGTAGCATACCTCTCTACTCATGTACTGAGGCCTAACAGCTATTGAAATTTTGTTCTGTTTATTCATTTATTCATTTTTTGAGACAGAGTTTCACTCTGTTGCCCAGGCTGGAGTGCAGTGGTGTGATCTCACTTAGCTCACTGCAACCTCTGCCTCCCGACTTCAAGCAATTCTCCTGCCTCAGCCTCCTGAGTAGCTGGGATTACAGGCACCCACAACCACACCCGGCCAATTTTTGTATTTTTACTAGAGACAGGGTTTCGCCATGTTGGCCAGGCTAGTCTCCTGACCTCAAGTGATTCACCCGCCTCAGCCTCCCAAAATGCTGCTAGTGAGCCACCGTGCCCTGCCTCTTTTGTTTATTTTTGAGCCTTTCTGTCCTACTTTCCACTCTTTCACACTCCTACCCACCCACACATTCAAAATCACGTCACATTCTTGAATCTTTGGGTCTTAGGGCAAACTGCAATGCTTAACTTTAATACAGAGTACATTAATGGAGAAAAAGATACAGTGAGGGAAGTGGGAGGGATGGAGGGCAGTGTGATACATGTAACCTCAAAAGGTGCTGTCACAAATATAGTTTCTCTGCAAACTCTTCTTGTAACTTAAATTTGTGAATTTTTATTTTATTTTAGAATTATTTTTTTAAAAATCCAATGTTTGGATTTACCTCTGAAGATTTTTCTCAAGATGTGCATCATCATGCTTACACTGTTTTCAATGATCTCTGGGTCCAGAAGTTAAGGAACTCCAAGAATGAAATTGTGAAAGGGTGACTACTGGCCCCTGCTATGTACTCAAAATCTTATTTGCAGATCTCCTATCTTGCTCTTTGTAGGTTACTTTAAAAAAAATTATTCCTATTCTTTTATTCTTTTACCTGGGGTCTCAAAAAAAGATTTTGTTAGTTTTTTTTTTCTTTTTTGGCTCAGAAAAAAAAGATTTTGGAATCTGCTATCTTGGAATTAGACCTTCTGATTCATCTTAAGTGGGATACCTTCCATCCTTGTCTGTGTATAACCTTTCCTCAGGTAAAGCTAACTTTTTTCTCTTTCAGATGGGTTTCAGCCCAGCAGAAGCATTATCTTTGCCAGTTGGAGTGCTGGAGACTTTGGATCGGTTGGTGCCACTGAATGGCTAGAGGTATTCTTTATCATCCCTTCCCATATTGGACACGAGCTTGTGGGCTTAGGCTGTTGTCCAGAAGTGATGTTTTTATAGGTTTGATTTTACCACTTTTGCCTTTGCGTTTAGTCTCAGTAGAGTCCAGAATTGAAAATGAATCCCTAATGCTACTGTATGTGATAAATAAACAGATTTATACTTATTAGTGTTTTCCCTTCTCTTCTAGGGATACCTTTCGTCCCTGCATTTAAAGGCTTTCACTTATATTAATCTGGATAAAGCGGTTCTTGGTAAGTATCCCTTTCATTAGCTGTGTATGAATTCAGGTAAACTTTTTTGAGATGGAGTTTTGCTCTTGTCGCCCAGGCTGGAGTGCAATGGCACGATCTCGGCTCACTGCAACCTCTGTCTCCCAGATTCAAGCGATTCTCCTGCCTTAGCCTCCTGAGTAGCTGGGATTACAGGTGCTCACTACCACACCCAGCTAATTTTTTGTATTTTTAGTAGAGACAGGGCTTCACTATGTTGGCCAGGATGGTCTCGAACTCCTGACCTCAGGCGATCTGCCTGCCTCGGCCTGGGATTACAGATGTGGGCCACTGTGCCTGGCCAGATAAACTACTTTGAAGTGGAAGAAAGCTTTTTTTTTTTTTTGAGACAGGGTCTCACTGTATTGCCCAGGCTAGAGTGCAGTGGCACAATCTTGGCTCACTGCAGCCTTGACCTCCTGGGCTCAGGTGATCCTCCCACTTCAGCCACCTGGCTAATTTTTTTTGTAGAGATGGGGTTTTGCCATGTTGCCCAGGCTGGTGTCAAACTCCTGAGTTCAAGCATTCTATGTCAGCTGCCCAAAATGCTGCGGTTACAGGCATGAGCCATTGCCCTCAGCCTGTATCTTAACCTTCCTTTAAATAGTCTGTCAAGTTACACAGTGAGCACAATTGCTTGTCTAGAACAGTGGGTAGTTCTCAGTGTGGCCCCCAGATGAGTAGCATTAGGAACTGTTACGAATGCAAACTGTCATGTCTACCCCAGACCTTTGAGTCAGAAATGGGAGTGTTGGTCTAAAAACTGGGCTTTTTGGGCTGGGCGCAGTGGTGCACGCCTGTAATCCCAGCACTTGGGAGGCCAAGGCAGGCGGATCACCTGAGGTCAGGAGTTCGAGACCAGCCTGGCCAACATGGTGAAACCCCGTCTCTACTAAAAATACCAAAATTAGCCGGGTGTGGTGGCGAGTACCTGTAATCCCAGCTACTCAGGAGGCTGAGGTAGGAGAATCACTTGAACCCGGGAGGCAGAGGTTGCAGTGAGCCAAGATGGCGCCATTGCCCTCCAGCCTGGGCGACAGAGCGAGACTCCATCTCAAAAAAACAAACAAAAAAACTGGGCTTTTTTTTTGGCAACCCTTGGGGAATAAAAACCTATTATTTTCTTAAGGACAAAGTATCCTGAAGCAAAAAAACCCAAACAAAGAAACAAAAAACTTTAACAAGCACTACAGGTAATTCTGATGGACTAAAGTTTTAGGACCATAAGTCTGGACTATATTGAGGTGAGAAGAAACTAAACTATGCCATATAGAATGGTACTTAGAGAGTAATTCACATCCTGTTACGTTGTGGCATCACTGATAGAAATATTGGATAATGAAACTTCTAGAAGAGTTTGAATGTTCACTGGCAGCAGAAAATTGACAAAAGGGTTTGAATGTTATTTAAAGTGCAGCTGTACATTCAACAGGAATGGGGTAAAAAAGAAAGTGCAGATGTAGCTGATGAGCTGAGAATAGTGAAATGTCTACATGGGGGAAAAAAGGAAAGAGTTACAATTAAACCTCTCTAGGTTAGTTATTTCCCTGTTGTATGTTTGCCGCAGAATGTGCTGAGTATAGCAAGCATACTATGTATAGCTCTAACCTGGGTGAACCAGAAAGTTAAACATGAAATTGCTAATGGGGGAGGCTGCACATGTGTGGGGGCAGTGGATTTATGGGACCTCTAGGTACCTTTCTCTTAATTTTGCTGCTGAACCTAAAACTGGTCTGATTTTTTTTTTTTTTTTTTTTTTTTTTTTTGAGATGGAGTCTCGCTTTGTCACCCAGGCTGGAGTGCAGTGGCGCCATCCCAGCTCACTGCAAGCTCCGCCTCCCGGGTTCATGCCATTCTCCTGCCTCAGCCTCCCGAGTAGCTGGGACTACAGGTGCCCGCCACCACACCCGGCTAATTTTTTGTATTTTTAGTAGAGACGGGGTTTCACTGTGCCAGCCAAGATGGTCTCGATCTCCTGACCTTGTGATCCACCCGTCTGGGCCTCCCAAAGTCCTGGGATTACAGGCGTGAGCCACCGTGCCCGGCCTAACTGCTCTGATATTTTTAAAAAAGGTGACTTGGATTAAAGTATGCAAACTCAAGGAGTAGTACGAGCCCACTTGAGTGAAGTTAGCTTAGTTGCTAAAGAGCTTGATACCAAAATTACTTTTGTTTACTTGATGAATGGGATAGTTGTTGCACAGGGCCACTGATCTAGATTACTGTCTTATTTGTCAAGTACTTATAGTTGTAGAAGTAGCAGTGTGAAAATTATCGGAATGGAGAAGGGGCAATGATAAAACAATTTATTTTCAGGTACCAGCAACTTCAAGGTTTCTGCCAGCCCACTGTTGTATACGCTTATTGAGAAAACAATGCAAAATGTGAGTATATACCTCATTACAAAAATGTATGACTTAATTTTTGTTGAATCAACCTGAGATAAAAAACACTGATATGTAAACCGTAGTCAGTAACAAAAAATAGGAATTGAGAATAAATTTTATAGCAGCGTTATTTAAGGGATACTTGCCTATTGAACCATATGAGATGAGGGCTCCAATCTTAAAGAATATGTTGTTTATTTAGGAATATATAACAAAATGCCATGAGGCCTAAGCTGTAGTGCAGGGGCCCACAGGGGATTGTCTATAGAGTCACAATGCTAAGGAAGGCTTAAATCAACTTGAACTATACTTTGAGAAGGCCGGAGGAAATATTCATTGAATAAACAATTACCATAGTTTTGAATGAGGGAGAGCATGTGAAAGAAAATATTTGCCTATGTGGGGTGGGGGGAGGGGAGAGGGATAGCATTGGGAGATATACCTAACGCTAGATGACGAGTTAGTGGGTGCAGTGCACCAGCATGGCACATGTATACATATGTAACTAACCTGCACAATGTGCACATGTACCCTAAAATTTAAAGTATAATTAAAAAAAAAATAAATAAATAAATAAAAAAGAAAATATTTGCCTAATGGGATTAGAGGCTGTATATTGGAGTGAGTAAAGTTAGAAACAGGTCAGATAGCAGACATTGGCCTTGATCCAAGAGATACTAGGGATTATAGGATCTCAAGCAAGGTGATCATGAATTTGCCAGTTAGGTTGGTGGCATAAGATGCACTAGAAGGAAGAAACCAGAAACAAGATAGGCATAGTGTGAAGCCCAGAGAGGGCTTTTACAATTGTGGGTAAGCCACCATGGTTTTGTTTGTTTGTTTGTTTGTTTTTGAGATGGAGTCTTCCTCTGTCTTCCTCCAGCACTCAGGCTGGAGTGCAATGGTGCGATCTTGGCTCACTGCAGCCTCCACCTCCTGGGTTCAAGCGATTCTCCTGCCTCAGCCTCCTGAGGAGCTGGGACTACAGGTGCACACCACCACACCTGGCTAATTTTTGTATTTTTAGTAGAGACGGGGTTTCACCATGTTGGCCAGGATGGTCTCAATCCCTTGACCTCATGATCTCTTGACCTTGGCCTCCCAAAATGCTGGGATTACAGGTGTGAGCCACCGCGCCCAGCTTTTATTCATTTTTTTTTCCTTTTTTTTTTTTAAGAGATAAAGTCTTGCTGTGTTGCCCAGGCTAGTCTCAAACTTCTGGGCTCAAGTGATCCTCCCAGCTCGGCCTCCCAAAGTGTTGGGATTGCAGTTGTGAACTACCCCACCCGGCCTAGGCCCACTTTTAAAATGTTAATTAAGAAGAAAACATTTTTTCCTCACCATAACTAAAGGAACTGACAACATGAGCCTAGTTAGTAATAACTTAAAGTTGAGATTGTTTTAACTATCATAAATAATTTCTTTTCAAGAAGATATAATACAAGTTTTTTATTTAAAAATTGTTATAGAGTAACATGTTAGTGACTAGCCTGAATAAATAAGTTCCAAAAGGTTAGTTTTAATGATAATTTCTTATCTTACAGGTGAAGCATCCGGTTACTGGGCAATTTCTATATCAGGACAGCAACTGGGCCAGCAAAGTGTAAGTTGAGAAAAGTGAATGAACAAACTAATAGAAAAGCAGAGATTCTACCTACTACATTAGGTAGAATCTAAATCTGTCCTTGCATTGAACTTACTTACACCTAAAGATATTCAGCTAAAGAATTTATTTTGGATGGGGGGACTAGCACGATAGAACAGTCTATTCTTTAAAACACTTTCTAAAGACACATTCTTTGTCTTTGCAGTGAGAAACTCACTTTAGACAATGCTGCTTTCCCTTTCCTTGCATATTCTGGAATCCCAGCAGTTTCTTTCTGTTTTTGCGAGGTAAGTCTGTTCATTTAAATGACAAATGGAGAGAGGCTCTCTAAAAGGAAGTGATCTGTATTTGGGAATAGGGCATTGCAATGGGAATGCCTGTGCTATAGTCAACTATGTACATATTCAGAGGAGTAAAGGAAAACAAGTTTTTAAGGACAAATGACGAGGATTACAAAATTACTTTGAGGTAATTATTCTTGGCTACCAAGATCAATAACAAGGATGACACCAGTCCAAGGTTGACAGGCAGTTGCTAGGCAGATTTTCTCACGAGAGAAGTTTTTTGGTGCAAGGTTGCAGTGGCCTTTGTGTAAGGTTGTAGTTTTTGTAAAAAGGAAAAAAAAAAACCCTTAATCCTTGTTATCAGACATACAAGGGTGAGACCCTTCTCTTCAGGGTTGCATTTTTGTTAACACTAGTGACTCCATTTTGATTTTGACAACTTGCACATATCTTAGTTGTTGGGTTTTTTTTGTTTGTTTTTTGTTTTGTTTTTTTTTTTTTTTTTGACAATGGTGACTTGCTCTGTCACCCAGGCTGGGGTGCAGTGGCCCGATCATGGCTCACTGCAGCCTCAAGCAGTCCTCCCCCTTCAGCCTCCAAACTGTTTGGATTATAGGCAAGAGCTACTTACTACACCTGGCCATGGATCTTCTTGTGTCAACTTTGAGACCAAATTTACTGCAGTGCTTAAAATGTTTTAAGAAGTTATACACATGTGCTGGATGTGGTAGCTCACGCCTGTAATCCTGTAGCAGGACAAGCCGCAGACAAATCCCCTCAGACACCGAGTTAAAGAAGGAAGGGCTTTATTTGGCTGGGAGCTTTGGCAAGACTCACGTCTCCAAAAACTGAGCTCCCCGAGTGAGCAATTCCTGACCTTTTTAAGGGCTTACAACTAAGGGAGTCTGCGTGAGAGGGTCGTGATCAATTGGGCAAGCAGGGGGTACGTGACTGGGGGTTGCATGCACCGGTAATTAGAACAGAACAGAACAGGACGGGATTTTCACAGTGCTTTTCTATACAATGTCTGGAATCTATAGATAACATAACTGGTTAGGTCAGGGCTCGATCTTTAACCAGGACCAGGGTGCGGCAGCGCTGGGCTGTCCACCTCTGCCTTTTAGTTTTTACTTCTTCTTTCTTTGGAGGCAGAAATTGGGCATAAGACAATATGAGGGGTGGTCTCCTCCCTTAATCCCAGCACTTTGGGAGGCCAAGGAAGGCGGATTACGAAGTCAGGAGTTTGAGACTAGCCTGACCAAAATGGTGAAACCCCGTCTCTGCTAAAAATACAAAAATTAGTCGGACATAGTGGCGTGTGCCTGTAACCCCAGCTACTCAGGAGGCTGAGGCAGGAGAATCGCTTGAACCTGGGAGGCAGAGGTTGCAGTGAGCTGAGATGGAGCCACTGCACTGCAGCTTGGGTGACAGAGCAAGACCCTGTCTCAAAAAAAAAAGTTATACACATGTAATTATTGCATGTTCCTTCATTATTAGTTTTAACATAGACTTGTTAATCTCAATTAGCTTAATTAGCATTTGAGTTTATTGCTAAAACTTCTTTATGAGTTTTAATAATGAGGCTTGGCCGAGTGTGGTGGGTCATACCTGTAATCCCAGCATTTGGGAGGCCAAGGCGGGTAGATCACTTGAGGTCAGGAGTTCAAGACCAGCCTGGCCAACATGGTTAAACCCCATCTCTACTAAAAATACAAAAAAATTAGCTGGGCATGGTGGCACATGCCTATAATCCCAGCTGCTCAGGAGGCTGAGGTGGAAGAATCGCTTGAACCCAGGGGGCAGAGGTTGCAGTGAGCCGAGATCGTGCCATTGCACTCTAGCCTGGGCAACAGAGCAAGATCGTCTAACAACAACAAAAAAAAAACCAAGGCTGAATTTCTTGAGTGATTGAGCAGTGGCTATCTATTGGACAGTCCAGCTGAACAGTATTTTCCTCAGGCTGGGTGCAGTAACTCACACCTATAATTCCGGCACATTGGGTGGCTGAGGTGGGCAGATCACTTGAGGCCAGGAGTGAGACCAGCCTGGGTAACGTGCCTAGACTATATCTCTACAAAAAATTTTTTAAATTAAGTGGCCCAGTGGCCAGCTGTAGTCCCAACTCCTTGGGAGGCTGAGGCAGGGGGGTCACTTGAGCTAGGAGCTTAAGGCTGTGGGGAGCCATGATTGCATCACCACGCTCCAGCCTGGGTGACAGAGTGACCTCGTCTCAAGGCTGCAGGGAGCCATGATTGCATCACTGCACTCCAGCCTGGGTGACAGAGAGAGGCCTCGTCTCAAGGCTGCGGGGAGCTGTGATTGCATCACTGCACTCTAGCCTGGGTGACAGAGTGACCTCGTCTCAAGGCTAGAGGGAGCCATGATTGCATCACTGCACTCCAGCCTGGGTGACAGAGAGAGACCTCGTCTCAAGGCTGCAGGGAGTCATGATTGCATCGCTGCACTCTAGCCTGGGTGACAGAGACCTTGTCTCAAGGCTGCGGGGAGTCATGATTGCATTGCTGCACTCTAGCCTGGGTGACAGAGAGACCTTGTCTCAAGGCTGTGGGGAGTCGTGATTGCATCACTGCACTCTAGCCTGGGTGACAGAGAGACCTCGTCTCAAGGTATGTTTCATGTATCTTCTCTTTTTTCATTGATAAAGGCCCAAACTTCCCAGAGAGAAAAACATACAGCCTTAAGGAATTTGGCTAGAAGTCTATTCAGGGCATATGATACGATAGAACAGGGATTCTGTAGAACCTGGAAGAAAGTAGTCACTCTAGGAGTAGGTTAGCTTGAGAGAAGTAGCAAGAATGTACTTAAAGCAGCAGATAATGAGATAGAATTGGGGTAAATTGCGGTAGGAATATGTTAGAAGCAAGGGTGGAACTGTCGTCACTGTTACCTCGATGGCGAAGCCAGAATGTGAGGCTCTTGCTCTTAGAACTCACGTGAGTACCATAGCCTCGCGTTGTCTTGCAGGACACAGATTATCCTTATTTGGGTACCACCATGGACACCTATAAGGAACTGATTGAGAGGATTCCTGAGTTGAACAAAGTGGCACGAGCAGCTGCAGAGGTCGCTGGTCAGTTCGTGATTAAACTAACCCATGATGTTGAATTGAACCTGGACTATGAGAGGTACAACAGCCAACTGCTTTCATTTGTGAGGGATCTGAACCAATACAGAGCAGACATAAAGGTGAGCACTGATTCCAATTACGTTTTTATTTTGCTGAATGTCAAGTATTTTGAAATGTGATGTGTTCCTGTGTGTTCCTGTTGGAAGGGTGATTGTAGCCATAGTACATTTTAAAGTGAACTGAGGTATAATTGTATGTAGAATTGGTAACTTGTTTGAGAGAAGTCGGGAGGCTGTGGATTAGAGACCTAGGACAGAGCTCAGCAGGTGTTTCAGAATCCAGAGCAGTGTCAGGTTTTCTGTCACTCATGTCTCCCAGGCAGCCCGTCAGTAGGACACGGAATATGAAGATCTCAGCAAGGAGTTGGGCTGTGTGCCTCTCGGGCGTGACCCGGATGGAAAGACAGCACAGCTAGCAGGATTCCATCTCGTAGTGATCTGCGCATCTAAAAGTCAAATATTCTATTAAACGAAACTGATAAGCAGGGTGAGGTGGTGCATACCCGTAGCCCCAGCTACTTCTGCTGAGGCAGGAGGATTGCTGGAGTCCAGCCCAGGCAACATAGCAAAATCCCATCTCTAAATAAATTAATAAAACTAATATTAAAGTAGCTTCCAGATTGTTTTATGGTACTAGGAGTTGATTTTTAACAGATCTCTTAATTGAAGTAAATCACTGACAACCGAATCTTTTTATATCTTTTTTATTTTTATTTTTATTTTATTTTTTTTGAGAGATGAAGTCTCGCTCTTGTCCCCCAGGCTGGAATGCAATGACATGATCTCGGCTCACTGCAACCTCCACCTCCCGGCTTTAAGCGATTCTCCTGCCTCGGCTCCCCAGGTAGCTGGGATTACAGGCGTGTGCCACCATGCCCAGATAGTTTTTGTGTTTTTAGTAGAAGCCGGGGTTTTACCATGTTGGCCAGGCTGAAGTGCAGTGGCGAGATCTCGGCTCACTGTAAGATGCGCCTCCCGGGTTCACGCCATTCTCCTGCCTAAGCCTCCCGAGTAGCTGGGACTACAGGTGCCGGCCACCACGCCCGGCTAATTTTTTGTATTTTTAGTAGAGCCGGGGTTTTACCATGTTGGCCAGGCTGGTCTTGAACTCCTGACCTCAGGTGATCCACCCACCTCGGCCTCCCAAAGTGCTGGGATCACAGGCATGAGCCACCACGCCCGGCATCTTATGTCTTTCTTGAAACTAATTGTAACTGTTGAAAATGGAACTTACCAGGTGGAAATAACTAAATCCTGAAGTACCTTGAACCAAAATGTTTTCCCCTATAGGGACATTTTCCCCCAAAAGGAGAATTGAACTGGAAACAATATAGTACATAGGATTATATAATTATGTTCAATTTCTTAATGAGAATGGTTTTCTTACATGCTGGGCTCAAATATGAGTGTATATCACAGTCCATAGAGCTTGGAACCCCTGTGCAAGGTGCTTTCGGAGTCTTGAGCTTATCTGCGAGTTCCTTTTATCAGAATCTTACTTAACGCACGTTAAATTAGAAAGGCATACAAAAGAATGTCCTTAGAAATAAAACTTCTCATAGCGAATAATGTCTGTTTCAGGAAATGGGCCTGAGTTTACAGTGGCTGTATTCTGCTCGTGGAGACTTCTTCCGTGCTACTTCCAGACTAACAACAGATTTCGGGAATGCTGAGAAAACAGACAGATTTGTCATGAAGAAACTCAATGATCGTGTCATGAGAGTAAGTGAACTTTTGGGAAAGGAGGAACTAAAGTATGTGTAAAATAACCGATAAATCTTACACTTCTGCAAAGTGGACAAACTCTAGGAGTCTAGAATTCCTTTAAGAAGGGAGCATTAATGGTTTAGCTGTCATTTTCTGTTTCTGCTGTCTAATTCAGAACTTAGTCAAACCTAGTCTTTTTGGAAGAGACTTGCTGTAAAACTTCCATGTATGCTCCAATGGGGAAAAGAATCTGAACACATTTAAAGTTTTCCTTTGTAAAATGAATCAGTTTCCTTTAAAAAAATTTTTTTTTTTTTTGAGACAGAGTTTCACTGTTGTTGCCCAAGCTGGAGTGCAATGGCACGGTCTCGGCTCACTGCACCCTCCACCTCCCAGGTTCAAGTGATTCTCCTGCCTTAGCCTCCCGAGTTGCTGTGATTACAGGTGCCCAACACCACGCCCGGCTCATTTTTTGTATTTTTAGTAGAAACGGAGTTTCACCATGTTAGCCAGGCCGGTCTCGAACTCCCAACCTCAAGTGATCCACCTGCCTTGGCCTCCCAAAGTGCTGGTATTACAAGCGTGAGCCGCTGTGCCTAGCCTCCTTTAGAATTTTAACCTTAGAAGATTAGCATTAGCCTGGTTCTCAGCATTCTTTTTTCCTTACTCTGCTATAGAAAGTCTGATCAGCTGGCTGGGTACAGTGGCTCATGCCTGTAATTCCAGTACTTTGGGAGGCCGAGGCAAGCGGATCACCTGAGGTCAGGAGTTCAAGACCAGCCTGACCAACATGGAGAAACCCCATCTCTACTAAAAATACAAAAATTAGCTGGGCGTGGTGGTGCATGCCTGTAATTCCAGCTGCTCAGGAGGCTGAGGCAGGAGAATTACTTGAACCCGGGAGGTGGAGGTTGCAGTGAGCTGAGATCGCGCCATTGTACTCCAGCCTGGGCAACAAGAGCGAAACTCTGTCTCAACAACAACAAAAAGCCGGGCACGGTGGCTCACACCTGTAATCCCAGCATGAATTGCTTGAACTCGGGAGGTGGAGGGTACCAGTGAGCCGAGATAGCGCTGTTGCACTCCAGTCTGGGCAACAAGAGCGAAACTCTGTGTCAAAAAAAAAAAAAAAAAAAAAAAGTCTGATCGGCATTCTTAAATTTGGGACATTTTACATTTGAAGTGAACTGTTGTTTTACTACAAAAGTCACAGGGCTGTGTAAATTGCCTTGTGTGTTGTTTTCGTAGGTGGAGTATCACTTCCTCTCTCCCTACGTATCTCCAAAAGAGTCTCCTTTCCGACATGTCTTCTGGGGCTCCGGCTCTCACACGCTGCCAGCTTTACTGGAGAACTTGAAACTGCGTAAACAAAATAACGGTGCTTTTAATGAAACGCTGTTCAGAAACCAGTTGGCTCTAGCTACTTGGACTATTCAGGGAGCTGCAAATGCCCTCTCTGGTGACGTTTGGGACATTGACAATGAGTTTTAAATGTGATACCCATAGCTTCCATGAGAACAGCAGGGTAGTCTGGTTTCTAGACTTGTGCTGATCGTGCTAAATTTTCAGTAGGGCTACAAAACCTGATGTTAAAATTCCATCCCATCATCTTGGTACTACTAGATGTCTTTAGGCAGCAGCTTTTAATACAGGGTAGATAACCTGTACTTCAAGTTAAAGTGAATAACCACTTAAAAAATGTCCATGATGGAATATTCCCCTATCTCTAGAATTTTAAGTGCTTTGTAATGGGAACTGCCTCTTTCCTGTTGTTGTTAATGAAAATGTCAGAAACCAGTTATGTGAATGATCTCTCTGAATCCTAAGGGCTGGTCTCTGCTGAAGGTTGTAAGTGGTCGCTTACTTTGAGTGATCCTCCAACTTCATTTGATGCTAAATAGGAGATACCAGGTTGAAAGACCTTCTCCAAATGAGATCTAAGCCTTTCCATAAGGAATGTAGCTGGTTTCCTCATTCCTGAAAGAAACAGTTAACTTTCAGAAGAGATGGGCTTGTTTTCTTGCCAATGAGGTCTGAAATGGAGGTCCTTCTGCTGGATAAAATGAGGTTCAACTGTTGATTGCAGGAATAAGGCCTTAATATGTTAACCTCAGTGTCATTTATGAAAAGAGGGGACCAGAAGCCAAAGACTTAGTATATTTTCTTTTCCTCTGTCCCTTCCCCCATAAGCCTCCATTTAGTTCTTTGTTATTTTTGTTTCTTCCAAAGCACATTGAAAGAGAACCAGTTTCAGGTGTTTAGTTGCAGACTCAGTTTGTCAGACTTTAAAGAATAATATGCTGCCAAATTTTGGCCAAAGTGTTAATCTTAGGGGAGAGCTTTCTGTCCTTTTGGCACTGAGATATTTATTGTTTATTTATCAGTGACAGAGTTCACTATAAATGGTGTTTTTTTAATAGAATATAATTATCGGAAGCAGTGCCTTCCATAATTATGACAGTTATACTGTCGGTTTTTTTTAAATAAAAGCAGCATCTGCTAATAAAACCCAACAGATACTGGAAGTTTTGCATTTATGGTCAACACTTAAGGGTTTTAGAAAACAGCCGTCAGCCAAATGTAATTGAATAAAGTTGAAGCTAAGATTTAGAGATGAATTAAATTTAATTAGGGGTTGCTAAGAAGCGAGCACTGACCAGATAAGAATGCTGGTTTTCCTAAATGCAGTGAATTGTGACCAAGTTATAAATCAATGTCACTTAAAGGCTGTGGTAGTACTCCTGCAAAATTTTATAGCTCAGTTTATCCAAGGTGTAACTCTAATTCCCATTTTGCAAAATTTCCAGTACCTTTGTCACAATCCTAACACATTATCGGGAGCAGTGTCTTCCATAATGTATAAAGAACAAGGTAGTTTTTACCTACCACAGTGTCTGTATCGGAGACAGTGATCTCCATATGTTACACTAAGGGTGTAAGTAATTATCGGGAACAGTGTTTCCCATAATTTTCTTCATGCAATGACATCTTCAAAGCTTGAAGATCGTTAGTATCTAACATGTATCCCAACTCCTATAATTCCCTATCTTTTAGTTTTAGTTGCAGAAACATTTTGTGGTCATTAAGCATTGGGTGGGTAAATTCAACCACTGTAAAATGAAATTACTACAAAATTTGAAATTTAGCTTGGGTTTTTGTTACCTTTATGGTTTCTCCAGGTCCTCTACTTAATGAGATAGTAGCATACATTTATAATGTTTGCTATTGACAAGTCATTTTAACTTTATCACATTATTTGCATGTTACCTCCTATAAACTTAGTGCGGACAAGTTTTAATCCAGAATTGACCTTTTGACTTAAAGCAGAGGGACTTTGTATAGAAGGTTTGGGGGCTGTGGGGAAGGAGAGTCCCCTGAAGGTCTGACACGTCTGCCTACCCATTCGTGGTGATCAATTAAATGTAGGTATGAATAAGTTCGAAGCTCCGTGAGTGAACCATCATTATAAACGTGATGATCAGCTGTTTGTCATAGGGCAGTTGGAAACGGCCTCCTAGGGAAAAGTTCATAGGGTCTCTTCAGGTTCTTAGTGTCACTTACCTAGATTTACAGCCTCACTTGAATGTGTCACTACTCACAGTCTCTTTAATCTTCAGTTTTATCTTTAATCTCCTCTTTTATCTTGGACTGACATTTAGCGTAGCTAAGTGAAAAGGTCATAGCTGAGATTCCTGGTTCGGGTGTTACGCACACGTACTTAAATGAAAGCATGTGGCATGTTCATCGTATAACACAATATGAATACAGGGCATGCATTTTGCAGCAGTGAGTCTCTTCAGAAAACCCTTTTCTACAGTTAGGGTTGAGTTACTTCCTATCAAGCCAGTACGTGCTAACAGGCTCAATATTCCTGAATGAAATATCAGACTAGTGACAAGCTCCTGGTCTTGAGATGTCTTCTCGTTAAGGAGATGGGCCTTTTGGAGGTAAAGGATAAAATGAATGAGTTCTGTCATGATTCACTATTCTAGAACTTGCATGACCTTTACTGTGTTAGCTCTTTGAATGTTCTTGAAATTTTAGACTTTCTTTGTAAACAAATGATATGTCCTTATCATTGTATAAAAGCTGTTATGTGCAACAGTGTGGAGATTCCTTGTCTGATTTAATAAAATACTTAAACACTGAGTTGTCATTTCTTTAGATAAATTTTTTAAAAAGAGCAGTTTTAGGCTCATAGCAAAATTAAACAGAATTCCCACACATCCACTGTTTCTGCCACTTACACATCCTCCATGACGGTCAACAGCTTGCGCCAGAGCGGCATATTTGTTACAATGGGCAGCCTACACGGGTGCACCATTAGCACCGTCAGCATCATTAGTCTACTGTTTACGTTAGGGTTTGTTCTACGGTTTTTGACAAATATGTAATATCATTCTAGTAGCTTACAGAATAGTTTTTATTGCTGTAAATCTTGTGCTCTGCCCATTCATCCATCTCTTCTATAAGGCCCTGGTAACCACAGATCTTACTATATCCATAATTTTACCTTTTCCAGACTGTCATACAGTTGGAATCAGAATATAGCCTTTTCAGATTGGCCTCTTTCACTAAGCAATAGCATTTGTTTCCTCCATGTCTTCATGACATGATACCTCATTTCTTTTTAGCACAGAACAATATTCTGTTGTCTGCAGTTACCATAGTTTATCTAGCTCACCTACTTACTAAGTAATCTTGCTTCTAAGTTTTGGCAGTTATGAATAAACTGATAAGCACCTGTGTGTATATCTTTTCTGTGAACATAGGTCTTCAGCTCTTTAGGTAAATACCAAGGTACATGATTGCTGCTGTCTTCTAAGTGGGCGATCTCAGCCCACTGCAGCCTCCGCCTCAGGCAGTTCTCCTACCTCAGCCTCCGAGTAGCTGGGATTACAGGTGTCTGCCACCACGCCTAGCTAATTTTCATATTTCTAGTAGACGTGGGGTTTCACCATGTTGGCCGGGCTAGTCTTGAACTCCTGATCTCAGGTGATCCGCCTGCCTCAGCCTCCCAAAGTGTTGGGATTACAGGCGTGAGCCACCATGCCCAGCCTCTATTGGCAATTTCTAAATATACAATATATTGTCACCATATACCACATATGTAATTTTATTTATTTTTGAGACAGAATCTTTGCTGTCGTCCAGGCTGGGGCGCAGTGGCGCTATCTCGGCTCCCCGCAACCCCCACCTCCTGGGTTCAAGTGATTCTCCTGCCTCAGCCTCCTGAGCAACTGGGATTACAAGTGTGGGCCACCACGCCTGGCTAATTTTTGTATTTTTAGTAGAGATGGGGTTTCACCATGTTGGCCAGGCTGATCTTGAACTCCTGACTTCAAGTGATCTGCCCACCTCAGCCTCCCAAAGTGTGTGATTACAGGTGTGAGCCACCACCACGCTCTGCCTCCTTTTTTTTTTTTTTCCCGAGACAGTCTCGCCCCATCGCCTAGGCTGGAGTGTAGTGGTGCCATCGCAGCTCACTGCAACCTCCACCTCCCAAGTTCAAGCAATTCTTGTGCCTCAGCCTCCTGAGAGGCTGGGATTACAGGTGTGCTCCATACCGTGTCTTCAAACTCCCTTGTACCTCAAGCAATGCACATCTCAGTTTTGGCTAGCCACATTTCAGGTGCTCAGTAGCCACATGGTTAGTGGACACCAGCTCTATAGCAAAAGGCGTAATTGTTGAGAGTTTTCTTATTTTGGCCTTCTACCGTGTGGTTACCAAAAAATCCATCACACAATTGAATCTCATTGCTATGAGTGCCAGCCAGGATTCTTAAGTATGGCCACGAAAATTGTGGCCCCTAGAATTGGAAGCCTAATTGCCTCACCTATGCCCCAGCTTTCCCGTGTCCAAATTAGCCACATTCATACCCTTGAGAAGCAAGATGATTATTAAACTGCTGTATTCTACGGGAGAAACTGCCTATGTGAAAGGTCATGGGTTAGGAAGCTGTCCTAAACAAATATTTGTAAAACACCTGGTTATCTGCAAGACAGCTTTGCCTAGAATTCAATATCAGATACCAATGTCTTCCTTGTGGCTGTCAACAGGTTTAGGTGCTGAGTTAAATAAAGCCTTTGCAGTTTGCTGCATTTGCCCTTTAAGCTGCCTCATGCTTAATCCACCCCAAATGGACAGCTTTGTATAATTTTCTTTTCTTTTCTTTTTTTTTTTTTTCTGAAATGGAGTCTCATTCTTGTTGCCCAGGCTGGAGTGCAATGGCGTGATCTCAGCTAACTGCAACCTCTGCCTTCCAGGTTCAAGCGATTCTCCTGCCTCAGCCTCCCCAGTAGCTGAGATTACAGGTGCATGCCACCATGCTCGGCTAATTTTTGTATTTTTAGTAGAGATGGGGTTTCGCCATGTTGGCCAGGCTGGTCTCGAACTCCTGACCTCAGGTGATCCGCCCGCCTTGGCTTCCCAAAGTGCTGGGATTAAAGGCGTGAGCCACCGCACCTGGCCAGCTTTGTATAATTTTTAATGCCTTTTTTGAAAATATTCACATACGGTCAAAGTGCAGAAAAGTCTGTATTAAAAAGTATTTTCCTCTTAGTCTCCAGAGTTGTCATCCCTCTAAATCTCCACAATTACCAATTTTTCTTTTTTTATTTTGAGATGGTCTCGCTCTTGTCACCCAGGCTGGATTGCAGTGGCATGATTTCAGCTTGCTGCAACCTCCGCCTCCTGGATTCCAGCTATCCTACCTAAGCCTCCTGAGAGTAGCTGGGACTACAGACAGGCAACACCATGCCCAGCTAAGCTAATTTTTGTATTTTTTGAGAGATGGGGTTTTGCCTTATTACCCAGGCTGGTCTCAAACTCCTGGACTGAAGTAATACACCTGCCTCAGCCTCCCAAAGTGCTGGGATTACAGGTGTGAGCCACTGGGCCTGGTCATTTACCGATTTCTTATGTACATTTTCAAAGTTGTCTGTGCATAAATGAGAATTCTATACCAGATCTTCCTAAAAGCATATATGGGGGCTCTGGTTCCACAGTCACCACATAAGCCTCCTACAACCTATCCCTCCTGCTGCTTACAGCCAGAAGCTCAGTAAGACGGGGGGAAAACTCTCCCAAACCTGAGATGTAAACAAAGGTAGGCAAACAGTGGAGGGGAGTAAAACTTGGAGAAGTGACCTCAAAAGGGAAAGAATTGGCAGGAACCAAAAGAGGAACAAACAAAAAAACTGGTGAAGTGGCATGCTGAGTCCAGCCATATCAATAATTACATTATTGACATGTTAACATTCTAATCAAGACTGATGATTAAAAAACAATCAAGGCCCATTTATATGCTGCCTATAAGAAACTTTAAAGACAGATGAATTGAAAGGGGAAAAAATACAATATGTACACTAGCATACTATGACTGGAATGGTTATATAAATATAAGATTAAATAGACTTTGAACAGATAGTACCGTAAAGATAGGAATATTTTATAATTGTAAAGAGAGCCATTCAGGAAGATAGCAGACTTATAAATACGTATGCACCTTAAAATACATGAAAAAGAAATGAAAATTCTGCCATTAAAATAGATTTTAACACCCATTTCTTAGCAGTAAATAGAGAAGCTAGACCAAAAAAATCAGGACAAATTATTTGAACCACTGTATCAGCCACCTCAATCTACTTGACATTTGTAGAACACCACATTCAACAACTGCAAAATATACTTTTTTTAGGTATATGTGGTATATTCAGCAAGATAGACCATATACTGGGTGATACGGTTTGGATTTGTGTCCCTGCCCAAATCTTAGGTCAAATCGTAATCCCCAGTGTTGGAGGAGGGGGCCTGGTGGGAGGTGGTTGGATCACGGGGGCGGAATGCCCCCTTGCTGCTGTCATGGTAGATCCCACGAGATCGGGTAGTTTGAGAGTGCGCAGCGCCTTTGCTGTCTTCCTCCTTCTCCAGCCGTGTGGGATGCGCCTGCTTCCCCTCTGCCTTCTGCCATGATGGCGCAGTCCCTGAGGCCTCCCCAGTCATGCTTCCCGTGTAGCCGGCGGAACCATGAGCCAATTAAACCTCTTTTCTTTATGAATTACCCAGTCTCAGGTAGTTCTTTAAAGCAATGTGAGAATGGACTAATACATTGGGTGGTAAAACAAGTCTCAATTTTTTTTTGTTTTGTTTTTGACTTGGAGTTTTGCTCTTGTTGAAGATTATGTAGCTCGTTTCGGGAAGCTTCTATCTTCTTACGATCTGCAGCATCTATCCTGTAAACAATAGCCTTGACTCGTCGCTGTCACACGGGCTGGAGTGACGTGGCGCGATCTCGGCTCACTGCAGGCTCCGCCTCCCGGGTTCAAGCGATTCTTCTCCCTCAGCCTCCGAGTAGCTGGGATTACAGGCACCCGCTACCACGCCCGGCTAATTTTTTGTATTTTTAGTAGAGATGGGGCTTTCACCGTGTTGCCCAGGCTGGTCTCGAACTCCTGACCTCAGGCGATCCACCCGCCTCGGCCTCCCAAAGTGCTGGGATTACAAGCGTGAGCCACCGCCCGGCCGGTCCTGGATCTTTATTGTGACATGACCTTTAGTTACTTTCCTCGTGTTGAAACCCACTGTGGCCGTCATATCTCCGCTGAATTCACCTGACGTGATGGCAGTGACGAAGGTGGCCTTGCCCGAGTACTGCAGCCCACGAGCATCGGCTCCATCTCCTCCTTCCAGACGAGCGAAGGGGACCGTCCGGCAGGCGGCAGATGAGCGCTAGCATGATGGCGGCTGTGAGCCAGGACGACCCTCCACAGGAGCAGCCTCCACCCGAGCCCACGACGGCTCCTCCAGGCCCGCGCCACACAGGCGGGCACAGGCCGGCGGTAGCGGCCTTAATTTTTTTTTTTTTTTTTAAAGACAAGCTCTTGCTATGTTGCCCAAGCTGGTCTTGAACTCCTGGCCTCAAGTGATCCTCCCACCTCAGCCT
This sequence comes from Homo sapiens, assembly GCF_000001405.40. Lineage (NCBI taxonomy): Eukaryota > Metazoa > Chordata > Mammalia > Primates > Hominidae > Homo > Homo sapiens. The sequence continues at coordinate 196,044,487 of NC_000003.12, read as the reverse complement.
CGAGTTGCTGGGATTCTAGGTGTGAGTCACTGCGTCTGGCTCTCTGAACAACTTTATGTCCCCAAATTTGACAACTTAAATATAAGTAGACGAATTTATTGATATATTCAAATTACCAAAATTAACGTAAAATCAGGACATCTGAGTAGACCCATATATACAATTATTATTTTTAAATCTGCATGTCTATTTTACTTCCATCACAAAAATATTACCTATATAAAATTGTGGTCCACTTTCTTCTCCTTGACCTCAAATTTAACACTTTTTGTTCCTTTTTTTTTTTTTTTTTTTTTGGAGAGAGCATCTCACTCCCTCACCCAGGCTGGAGTACAGAGGTGGCTCACTGCAACCTCCACCTCCTGGGCTCAAGCGATTCTCCTGCCTCAGCCTCCTGAGTAGCTGGGATTACGGGCATCCGCCACCATTCCTGGCTAATTTTTGTATTTTTAGTAAAGACGGGGTTTCACCATATTGGCCAGGCTGGTCTCGAGCTCCCAGCCTCAGGTGATCCGCCTGCCTCACCCTCCCAAAGTGCTGGTATTACAGGTGTGAGCCACCACACCCGGCCAATTTCCACACTTTAATTTCACTCAAGTAAAAGCAGGATCACATTCCTGACATAAGAACTAATATTTCACATCATTAGTTTGGATTCGATATGTTCTTGATTGGTTGTTTCTCGGGAATAGTAACTCATCTTTCCTACGTGTTATTTCTCTTTTATTGATTGAGGAAATAAATGTAATGACCATCATAGATCTGTGACGAATATCTCTTTCCTGTGTTCAGTAAGACAGGTGTACATAGGTGTAATTCAAAACCGTAACGACGCCGGGCGCAGCAGCTCACACCGGTAATCCTAACACTTTGGGAGGCCAAGATGGGTGGATCACTTGAGGTCAGGAGTTCGAGACCAGCCTGGCCAACATGGTGAAGCCGCACGTCTACTAAAAATACAAAAATTACCTGGGCGTTGGTGGTGCGTGCCTGTTATCCCAGCTACTTGAGAGGCTGAGGCAGGAGAATTGCTTGAACCTGGGAGGCAGAGGTTATGGTGAGCTGAGACTGCGCCACTGCACTCCAGCCTGGGCAACAAGAGCGAAACCCCACCTCACAACTCAATTACACAAACTTTTTTAGAACATAGAGGAGGAACAATTGTCCAACTTGTTATGAAGCCAACATAACATGCCCAAAACTAACAAAGATAGTATAAAAACAAAAATTACAGACCAATATTTTCATGAATATATGTGCAAAAATCCTTCACAAAATACAAGCAAATTGAATCCAATATATCATGACCAAGTAGAGTTTATTACAGGAGTGCAAGTGTAGTTTAACATTAAAAAATCAGTATATCTGGCAATTCCATGCGTATGTATATATCCAAGATAAATGAAAACATGTCCACATAAAAATGTATATGGGAATGTTCATAGCAGCATTATTTATAATAGCCTCAAATTGGAAACAGCCCAAAAGTCTATCACCAGATGAACAAATAAACAAAATATGATGTAAGCACACAAGGGAATACGATATAAGCACACATGGGAATACGACGTAAGCACACAAGGGAATATGATGTAAGCACACAAGGGAATATGATGTAAGCACACAAGGGAATATGCTTTGGCAATGAAAAGAAATGGAGTGATGTCATAGGTGGTGGTATATTAGGAAGTGCCAGGAAGCCATCTTTCCACTTAACGACCATTGCGTTGTCAGGAACTGTTCCGAGTCATTATTGTGGAACTGGGGTCTAGTTGAACATGTGCAACATCCAGGAGAGAACCCAATTTTTGGCTTTGTCGGTAGTGCCTCAAATCCCCACTTCCCAGCCCCACAGCAGGCAGCTGAGAGAAGGGTGGTCTCTATTCCTGGGGTGGCTTCCGGAAGCCGGGGTGGGCAATAAGAACCTTGTCTTCCAAACCTCAGGATTCTGTATTTTGATGGCTGATTGCTGCTTTTGACTGGGGAAGGTGACTGCTGAGGTAATAGAACAAAAACCTTAGTGACCACACATAACAAGGCATGCTTCGCAAAAAATAGTTCGGAAAAGTCACAATGGATGGCTCCAACACTCAATAAACAAGGTTCTGCAACCCCTGAGGACTGAGAGAATTAGATCTCCAGAGTTACTGCAACACAGTGTTCAAATATTTCCAGTTCTCAATGAGGAAATTACAAAACAGAGAAACAAGAATGTGTAGCCTACACACGGAGAGGGGGAGAAACCAATTTGACAGAAATTAGCCCCTGAGGAAGCCCAGACACTGGAATTATTCGTCCAAGATGTTAAATCAACTGTGTTAAATATGTCAATGAGCTAAAGGAAACTATGGAAAAAAAATAAAGGAAATCAAGAAAACTATACATGAACCAATGAGAATATCAATAAAGAGATAGAAATTATTACAAGCAACCAAATAGAAAATCTGGAGCTGAAAAATAAAATAACTGAAATAAAAAAGTTGCTATAGAGTGGGGCATGGTGGCTCATGCCTATAATCTCAGCACTTTGGGAGGCTGAGGCATGTGGATCACTTCAGCTCAGGAATTTGAGACCAGCCTGGGCAACACGGCAATACCCCAGCTCTACAAAAAACACAAAAATTAGCTGGGTGTGGTGGCACGTACTTATAGTCTCAGCTACTCAGGGGGCTGAGGAGGTGGGAGAATCGCTTGAGCCTGTCAAGTCAAGGCTACAGTGAGCCATGTTTGTGCCACTGCACTCCAGCCTGAGTGACGAATGAGACTCTGTCTCAAAAAAAAAAAAAAAGAAAAGAAAATCAATCTAGGGGTTCACATTTGAGCAGGCAGAAGAAAGGATCAGTAAACTGTAATATAAGAAAATTAGAACTCCCCAGTCTGGCAGGTGCAGTGGTTTACACCTGTAATCTCTGTTCTTTGGGAGGTTGGGGCAGGAGGATCAATTGAGACCTGGGCAAGATGGCAAGATCCCATCTGTAAAAAAAAAAAAAAAAATTCTTCTTTTAAATTAGCCAGGTGTGGTGGCAGGTACTATAGTCCCAGCTACTTGGAATGTGGAGGTGGGAGGATTGCTTGAGCCAGGAGTTGGGGATTAGAGTGAGCTATGATCACACCACTGTCCTCTAGCCTGGGCAACAGGGTGAGACTCTGTCTCTAAAACAACGAACTATCCAATCTGAAGAGCAGAGTGGAAAAAGAATGAAGAAAAATAAACAACAGAGCCTGAGGTCCCTGTGGGATACCATTAAACATGCCAACATGTAAATTATAAAAGTCCCAGAAGAAGGCAGAGATAAACGGGAAGAAAAAACATTTGAAGAAATGATGGTTAAAACTTTCCAAATCTGAGGAAAACCATGAATACACACATCTAAGAAGCTCAGTGAACTTCAGGTAGGATATACTCAAATAAATGCACACTGAGACATATAATCAAGTTATCAAAACCCAAAGGAAGAATAGGAGAATTTTGAAAGCAGCAAAAGAGAACTGACACATCACATCACATAGAAGAGGAGCCTTGGTAAGATGATTACCAGCCGCATTCAAGAGGGCCTGGGTAAGATTACCAGCTGCTTCTCTTCGGAAACCATGGAGGCCAGAGGCAATGGGGATGACATGAAGTTCTGAAAGAAAAAAACTGGCAACCAAGAATTCTATATCTGCCAAAGCTGTTCTTCAACAATGAAGGAGAAAATAAAGACATTTCCAGATGAACAACAGCTCAGGGAGCTCATTACCAGTATAACCGATCTGCAAGAAACGCTAAGTGGTATAAGGCTGAAATGAAAGGACACTGGACAGCGACTCAAGCCATGAGACCAAAAGACAGAGCAGTGGTAAAGGGAACTATGTGGATAAATATAAAAGCCAGTATTATTGTACTTTCGGCATTCCTTGTGGCTTTTCTCTTTTTCTTATATAATAGGCAAATGCACAAAACAATAATTACAAATCTATGTTAATCAGTACACAATGTATAAAGAAGTAATCTGTGACAATAACATATAAAGAGGGAAAGACAGATTTATAGGAGCATAGTATATACTATTGGATCTAAGCTGGTATTATTCAAACTAGGTTGTTACAAATTTAAGGCTGGGCGTGGTGGCTCATGCCTGTAATCCCAGCACTTTGGGTGGCCGAGGCAGGTGGATCACTTGAGGCCAGTATTAGAGGCCAGCCTGCCCAACACGGTGAAACGCTGTCTTTACTAAAAATACAAAAATTAGCTGGGTGTGGTGGTGGATGCCTGTAATCCCAGCTACTTGGGAGGCTGAGGCAGGAGAATCACTTGAACCCAGGAGGTGGAGGCTGCGGTGAGCCGAGATTGCTCTACTGCACTCCAGCCTGGGCGACAGAGTGAGACCCTGTCTCAAAACAAAACAAAACAAAACAAAACAAAACAAAACAAAACAAAACTAGGTTGTTATACATTTAAGATGTGAATTGTAGCCCCCATGTTAACCGTTAATAATTTAAAAATGTACAGAAATGGAATGATGACAGGAGTTTAAAAAGTACACTTAAAAAAATACAAAAAGGCAGTAATGAAGGTATTGAGGAATTTTTAAAATGTAAGACATACAAAAACAAATGCATAAATGGCAAAAGAAAATATAGTTTTATCACTAATATTAAATGTAACTGAATTAAACTCTCCTATGAAAAGGCTGGGATTGGCAGATTGGATTTAAAAAAAAAAAACAAGATCCATCTATACGTTGTCAACAAGAGATTCACTCTAGATGTAAGGACATAATGTTGGAAGTAAAATGATGAAAAAAGGTATTTTACCAAATAGTAATTAAAAGAGAGCTGAGTGGTTGTATTATTATCAATAAAATAGACTTTAAAATGATTACAAAATACAAAAAAGGGCATTATATAGTGATAAAAGATTTGACACAAACTTGTTTTGGCACCTGGCCAAAAACAAGTTTTAATACATTTCAACAGACTGAAATCAGACAAAGCATTTTTTCCAATCACAATGGAATGAAACTAGAAATGAATAACAATGAAAACTTGAAAATTCACACATATATGGAAATTAACACTTTTTTTTTTTTTTTTGAGATGGAGTCTTGCTCTGTTGCCCAGGCTGGAGTGCAATGGCACGATCTCGGCTGACTGCAACCTCTGCCTCCCAGGTTCAAGCGATTCTCCTGCCTCAGCCTCCTGAGTAGCTGGGATTACAGACGTGTGCCACCATGCCCAGCTAATTTTTGTATTTTTAGTAGAGACGGTTTCACCATGTTGGCCAGGCTGATCTTGAACTCCTGACCTTGTGATCTGCCCACCTCGACCGCCCAAAGCGTTGGGATTACAGGCATGAACTACTGCACCCGGCCGGAAATTAACACTCTTAAATACAAATGAGCTAACAAAGAATCACAAGAGAAATTAGATAATACCTTAAGATAAATAAATGAAGAAGAAAATATACCTACCAAAACTTATGAGATGCAACAAAAACAGCATTAAGAGGGAAATTTATAGTTGTAAATCTATACATGAAAGAAAAATACTGCAAACAGTGGATTAGTGTCCCCTACGATTGCAGACTTGTATTATTACTTCTTCTTCTACTAATTTTTTTTTTTTTTTTTTGAGATGGAGTCTCACTCTGTCACCAGGCTGGAGTGCAGTGGCGTGATCTCAGCTCACTGCAACCTCTGCCTCCTGGGTTCAAGTGATTCTCCTGTCTCAACTTCCCGAGTATCTGGGACCACAGACACACATCACCACACCCAGCTAATTTTTGTATTTTTTAGTAGACACGGGGTTTCACCATGTTGGCCAGGATGGTCTTGATCTGTTGACCTCGTGATCCACCCATCTCGGCCTCCCAAAGTGCTGGGATTTCAGGCGTGAGCCACTGTGCCCCACCGGACTTGTATATTACTTCTATAGTTATAAGCTATAAACCACAGTTTATAGTTCTGTAAGCTTTACATAACTGAAATTCATGCTTTTAGATATTTACAAATTTATGAGCTGCCTATGGAATTGATCTTTTTATTACTTTGAAATGCGTATCTTTATATCTTGTAATTCTACTTTAGATCTACTTTGTCCAATATTAATATAGCCATATAATTTTTCCCTTGGTTAATATTTGCATGATCTATTTTCATCCTTTCAGTTTTAGACTATGTATGTCTACATACTTAAAATGTTTCTTTTGTAAATAAAATATGGCTGTGTTTTATTTTTTATGTAGCTGACAAATTCTGTATTATTTTATTTTTTACTCAGAATTCTTTTCTTCTTATGAGGCATAATTGACAAATAATAATTATATTAAAAAGAGAAGAAAGATCTGAAATTGACAACCTAACTGTACACCTCAAAGAACTAGAAAGAGAAGAGCAAATTAAACTGAAAGCTAGAAGAAAGGAAATCATAAAGAACCAGAGCTGAGATAAATGAAGTAGAGAATAGAAAAACAGAGAAAATCAATGAAACCAAAGTTTTTCTTTGAAAACATCAACAAAATTGACAAACTTTTAACCAGGTGGATTCAGAAAAAAAGAGAGAAGATTCAGTTTACTACAATCAGAAATGAAATTGGAGACATTATTACCAATTTAACAGAAAGTAAAAGGTTTATAAAAGAATAGCATAAACAGTTGTATACAACAAATTGGATAACCTAGATTAGATGCACATATTCCTAGAAATACACGATATACCAGAAATGACTCATAAAGCAGTAGAACATCTGAATAGACTCTGAACTACTAAGGTTGAATCAGTAAGACCTGGCCTTTTCTTCACCAGATGGTTTCACTGGTGAATTCTTCTTCTTTTTTTTTTTTTTTTTTTTTTGAGACAGTCTCGCTCTGTCGCCCAGGCTGGAGTGCAGTGGCACGATCTCGGCTCACTGCAACCTCCCTCTGCCGGGTTCAAGCGATTCTCCTGCCTCACCCTCCCCAGTAGCTGGGATTACAGGCGCGCACCACCATACCCAGCTAATTTTTGTATTTTTAGTAGAGATGGGGTTTCACCGTGTTAGCCAGGCTGGTCTCGAACTCCTGACCTCGTGACCCACCCACCTCGGAATCCCAAAGTGCTGGGATTACAGGCGTGAGCCACTGTGCCCGTCCGCCATTATGAATATTGATGCAAAATGTTTAATACTAGCAAACCAAATTTAGCAGCTTATCAAAATAATTATATACCATGACTAAGTGAGGTTTAGTCTGTAAATGCAAGGATGGTTCAACATAGGAAAATCAACCAAGGTGATGCACCACATTAATAGAATGAAGGGGAAAACCCCAAATGATCATCTCAATTGATACAGAAAAAGTATTTGACAAAGTCCAACACACTTTCATGATAAAGCAGTCAATAAACTAGGAATGGAAGGGAATTCCTTCAAAATAATAAAGGTTATATCTGAAAAACCCACAGCTAATATCATATACAATGGTGAATTTCTTAAAACTTTACCCCAAACATCAGAAAGAAGATAAGGACTTCTATTCAACACAGTAGTAGCCGTTGTAGTCACAGCAACTCGGCCAAAAATAAATCGCATCTGAACTGGAAAGGAAGAAGTAAAATCACCTCTGTTCACAGAAGACACGCTCTTACATGTAGCAAATTCTAAAGAATCCACAATAAAATGGTTACATCTCACTCCAGAATTCAGAGACATGGCAAGATACAAAATCAACACACGAAAATCAGCTGCATTGTTATCCACTAGCAATGAACATTCCGAGAGGATATTAAGAAAACAATTCTGGCTGGGTGCAGTGGCTCAACGCCTGTAATCCCAGCACTTTGGGAGGCCAAGGTGGGTGGATCACCTGAGGTCAAGAGTTCGAGACCAGCCTGGCCAACATGGTGAAACCCCGTCTCTACTAAAAATACAAAAATCAGTCGGGTGTGGTGGCACGCAGCTGTAATCCCAGCTACTTGGGAGGCTGAGGCAGGAGAATCTTTTGAACCTGGGAGGCGGAGGTTGCAGTGAGATTGTGCCACTGCACTGCACTGCACTCCAGGCTGGGTGACAGAGTGAGATTCTGTCTCAAAAAAAAAAAAAAAAAAAAAGCATCAAAAAGAATTAAAAATACACAGGAATAAATTTAACGAAGGAGGCACAAGACTTAAACTTATGTATTGAAAACTATAAAACATTGCCAAAAGAATTAAAGAAGACATAAATAAATGGAAGGATATTCCATGTTGGGGATTGGGAGGCGTAGTTGTTAAGATGACAATACTGCCCAGCCTATCTACAGAGTTAATGCAAAATCCCTTTCAAAATCCCAGGGGTGTTTTTTGCAGAAATAGAAAAACCTAATTTGAAATTCAGGCCCCGCATGGTGGCTCAGGCCTGTAATCCCAGCACTTTGGAAGGCTGAAGCAGGCGGATCACCTGAGGCCAGGAGTTCGAGAACAGCCTGGCTAACATAGCGAAACCCCGTCTGTACCAAAAAATACAAAAATTATCCGGGTTGGGGGTTACGTGCGCCTGTAGTCCCAGCTACTCGGGAGACTGAGGTGGGAAAATCACCTAAGTCCGCGGAAGTCGAGGCTGCAGTGAGCCTTGATTGAGCCAATGCACTCCAGCCTGGGCGACAGAAAGAGACTCTGTCTCAAATAAATTTTTTTAAAAAAGTAAGTAAATAAATAAATAATTAAATTAAATTAATGTGGGATCTCTCCTATAGGCTCTGGGAAGCCTGTGGCTTGAGATGTGGCCCCGCAGAGGAATGCGCATGCGCTGAGTCACCCAACGATTTGGGTTGGCGGAAAAGTAATGGCGGTTTTTGCCCTTCCTTTTTTTTTTTTTCCTTGAGACGGCGTCTCGCTCTGTCGCCCAGACTGCAGTGCAGTGGTGCCATCTCGGCTCACTGCAAGCTCCGCCTCCCGGGTTCACGCCGTTCTCCTGCCTCAGCCTCCCAAGTAGCTGGGACTACAGGCGCCCGCCACCACGCCCGGCTAATTTTTGTATTTTTGGAACCTTTTGTATTTTAGAACCTTGAAAACGTTATGTTAAGTGAAATAAGTCAGACATAAAAGGACAAATACTGTATGATTCCAGTTATATGAGGTACCCAGATTAGGCAGATTCACAGGGATGGAAAGTAAAATAGAGGTTGCCAGGGGCTGGGGTACAGAGGAAACGGGAAGTTACTGCTTGATGGGCACAGAGTTTCTGTTTAGGATGAAGAGAAAGCTCTGGAAATAGTGGTGAGTTACACAACATTGTGAATGTACTTAGTGCCACTGAGTTGTATACTTAAAAGTGGCTAAAATAGTGTATTTTATGTTATGTGTGTTTTACCACAATAAAACATTCTAAAAAATAGGAATAAAGTACTACAACACGGGTGTACTTTGAACCCACTATGCTGAGTGAAAGAGGCCCTTCACCAAAGACCACATAGGTATGATTTGATTTCTGTGAAATGCCCGGAACAGGCACATCTACGCAGACAGAAAGTAGATGAATGATTGCCATGGGCTGGATGAGGAGGAAGCGGGGAGTGACAGCTAATGGGTATGGGGTTTCTTTTTGCAGTGACAGAATGTTCTAAAATTAGGTAGGGGTGCTGGTTATACAGCTCTGTGCATGTCTTAAAAACCACCGAATTGTACACTTTTAAAGAGTGAATTCACTTTTTAAGAGTGATTTTTTTAATTTAAAAAATGTTTTAAACTATTTTCTGCATCCAACCAACCATTACTTTGTTTAATTTTTTATTTATTTATTTTTTTTGAGAAGAAGTCTCGCTCTGTCTCCCAGGCTGGTGTGCAGTGGCACGATCTCGGCTCACTGCAAGCTCCGCCTCCAGGTTCAAGCGATTCTCCTGCCTCAGCCTCCCGAGTAGCTGGGACTACAGGCACGTGCCACCACGCCCGGCTAATTTTTGTATTTTTAGTAGAGACGGGTTTTCACTATGTTGGCCAGGCTGGTCTTGAACTCCTGACCTTGTGATCTGCCCGCCTTGGCCTCCCAAAGTGCTGGGATTACAGGCGTGAGCCACTGCACCCAGCCTTTGTTTAAATATTTTTAATTTAATGTCTTTAACAATTTTTTTTCGAGACAAGATCTCACTCTGTTGCCCAGGCTGGAGTGCAGTAGTGCAATCACCATTCACGGCAGCCTTCATCACCCAGGCTGAAGCGATCCTCCTGCCTCAGCATCCCAAGTAGCTGGGATTAGAGGTGCATGCCACCGTGTCTGGCTAATTTTTGTATTTTTTTGTAGAGACAGGGTTTCGCCATGTTGCCAGGCTGGTCTCCAATTCCTGGGCTCAAGCGATCCGCCCATCTTGGCCTTCCAAAGTGCTGAAATTACAGGCATGAGGCACCGTGCCCCGCCTTAAAGGATGATTTTTATTGTATGTAAATTATATATCAATAAAGTCATGAAAAATCAATCAGGGTAATTCACCATATTGACAGAATAAAGGAGAAAATGCATGATCATGCCATAGATGCAGAAATAGCATCTTGTGCAGATTTACACCGTTTCATTATAAAACTAGGGATAATAGGAAGCTTTCTCAAACTAATAAAATGGCACCTAATAAAACTTACAGCTAGCATCCAAAATTTATGATAAAAAACTGAATTGTTCATCTATAAAATCAAGAACAAGGAAACAATGGCCATTTTTACTACATTTTTTGTTTGTTTGTTTGTTTTGTTTTGTTTGAGACTGGTGTCTCCCTCTGTCCCCCAGGCTGGAGTGCAGTGGCACAATCACTGTAACTTCAACCTCCTGGGCTCAAGCAGTCCTCCCACCTCAGCCTTCTGAGTAGTTGGAACTACAGGCACGTGCCATCATGCCTGGCTAATTTTTTAATTTTTTTGTGGAGAGAGACGAGGTCTCGCCATGTTGCCCAGGCTGGTCTCCAGCTCTTGAACTCAAGCGATCCTCCTGCCTCAGCCTCCCAAAGTGCAGGGACTACAAGCATGAGCCACGGCTCCAGCCCCACCACTTTTTAAAAAATTTATCACCTCAATAATTTTTCATTTCTTTGTGTTATAACCATTCCAGTTATAATCTTTTAGTTTTTTTAATGTATAATAAATTATTGTTGACTATAGTCACCCTACTGTGCTATCAAATACTAGATCTTATTCATCTAATTATATTTTTTACCCATTCTCTTCCCCGCTTCCCCCACTGTTCTTCCCAGCCTTTGGTAACTGTGATTCTGCTCTCTATCTCCATGGGTTCAATTGTTTTAATTTTTAGCTCCCACAGATAAGTGACAGCATATGTGAAGTTTGTCTTCTTGTGTCTCACTTATTTCACTCAATATAATGTCCTTCAGTTTCATCCATATTGTTGCAAATGACTGGATCTCATTTTATTTTATTTATTTATTTATTTATTTTTGAGATGGAGTCTCACTCTTGTTGCCCAGGCTGGAGTGCAGTGGCATGATCCCGGCTCACTGCAACCTCTGCCTTCCGGGTTCAAGCAATTCTCCTACCTCAGCCTCCTGAATAGCTTGGGATTACAGGAGCACACCACCATGCCCGGCTAATTTTTGTATTTTTAGTAGAGACGGGGTTTCACCATGTTGGCCAGGCTGGTCTTGAACTCCTGACCTCAGGTGATCCACCTGCCTCAGCCTCCCTAGTGCTGGGATTACAGGCATGAGCCACTGTGCCTGGCCACTTTTTTATGCCCTAATAGTGCTCCATTGTGTATATGCACCACATTTTCGTTATTCATTTGTTGAGGGACACTTAGATTGATTCTAAATCTCAGCTATTGTGAATAGTGCTACAATAAACATGGGCATAGTGATATCTCTTCGATATACTGATTTCTTTTCTTTTTGGTATTTCCTTTCTTTTGGGTATATGCAGATGACTACTGAATCATATGGTAGTTCTATTTTTAGTTTTTTGAGGCAACTCAATACTCTTCTCCATAGAGGTTGTACTAACTTACATTCCCACCAACAGTGTATGAGGGTTCCCCTTTCTCTATGTCTTTGCCAGCATTTGTTATTGCTTGTCTTTTGCACAAAAGACATTTTAACTGGGGCGAGATAATCTCTCACTGTAGTTTTAATTTTAATTCCTCTGATGATCAATGATGTTGAGCACCTTTACATAACCTGTTTGCCATCTGAAGGTCTTCTTCTGAGAAAAGTCTATTCAGATCTTTTGCCCATATTAATATCAGATAATTAGATTTTTCATGTTGAGTTGTTTAAGCTCCTTGTGTATTCTGACTATTAATCCCTTGATAGATGGATCGTTTGCAAATATTTTCTCCCATTCTGTGGGTTTTATGTGCATTTTGTTGATTGTTTTCTGCTGTACAGAAACTTTTTAACTTAATGTGAGTCCATTTGGTCATTTTTGCTTTGTTTGCCTGTGTTTGTGGGGTATTACTCAATAAATCTGTGCCCTATCTGTAACCCCAGCACTTTGGGAGGCCAAGGTGGGCAGATCACTTGAGGCCAGTAGACTGAGACCAGCCTGGCCAACATGGTGAAACCCCATCTCTACTAAAAATACAAAAATTAGCCAGGTGTGGTGGCGGGTGCCTGTAATCCCAACTACTCAGGAGGCTGAGGCAGGAGAATCACTTTAACTTGGGAGGTGGAGGTTGCAGTTAGCTGAGATCACACCACTGCACTTCAGCCTGGGTGAGAGAGCAAGACTCTGTCTCAGTAATAATAATAATAATACAGAAATCTGTGCCCAGACCAACGTCCTGGAGAACTTCCCCAGTGTTTTTGTTTTGTTTTGTTTTGTTTTTTAGTAGTCTTCCAGTTTCAGGTCTTAGATTTAACTTAATACATTTTGATTTGATTTTCATATATGGCAAGAGACAGGGGTCTAGTTTCATTCTTCTTTACATGGATATCCAGTTTTCCCAGCACCAGTTATTAAGACTTGCCGTTTCCCCAATGTATGTTCTTGGCACCTTTGTTAAAAATGAGTTCACTGTAGATGTATGGCTTTATTTTTGGGTTCTCTATTCTGTTCCATTAATCTATGTATCTGTTTTATGTGGGTACCATGATGTTTTCTTTACTATAGCTTTGTAATATAATTTAAAGTCAGGTAATGTGATTCCTTTAGTTTTGTTCTTTTTGCTCAGGATGAGTTTGGTTATTCTGTGTCATTTGTGGTTCCATATGAATTTTAGGATTATTTTTTCTATTTCTGTGAAGGATGTCATTGTTATTTTGATAGTGAATCTGTAGATTGCTTTGGGTAATATGGAAATTTTAACAATATTGATTCTTCCAATCCATGAATATGGAATATCTTTCCATTTTGTGTGTGTCCTCTTTGATTTCTTGTATCAATGTTTTACAGTTTTCATTGCAGAAATCTTTCACATCTTTGGTTAAGTTTATTTCTAGGTATTTTATTTTATTTGTAGTTATTGTTAAGTGGGATTAATTTCTTTATTTCTTTTTCAGCTTGCTCTGTTGGCATATAGAAATGCTACTGATTTTTGTATGTTGATTTTGTTGATTGGCATTGATCAACAAAGTTGCAGTTGTTGATCCTGCAACTTTACTGAATTTGTTTATCAGTTCTAACAGTTTTTTGGTGGAATCTTTAGGTTTTTACGAATAAAAGATCATATAATCTGGAAATAAGATAGTTTGACTTCCTTCTTTCCAATTTGCATGTCTTTATTTCTTTGTCTTGTTTGATTGCTCTGGCTAGGACTTCCAGCACTATGTTGAATAGCAGTGGTCAAAGTGGGCATCCTTGTGGTGTTCCAGAGCTTAGAGGAAAGACTTTCAGTTTTTCCTCTTCAGTATGAGACTAGCTGTGGGTCTGTTGTGTATGGCTTTTATTGTGTTGTGGTATGTTCCTCCTATACACAGTTTTTTGAGGGTTTTTATCATGAAGGGATGTTGAACTTTATCAAATACTTTTTCGGCATCAATTAAAATCATCATATGATTTCTGTCCTTCATTCTGTTGATATGATGTATCACATTGATTGATTTGCATATGTGGAACCTACCTTGCATCCCTGGTATCAATCCCACTTGGTCGTGATGAATGATATTATTAATATGTTGCTGAATTAGGTTTGCTAGTATTTTGTTGTGGATTTTTGCATAAATGTTCATCAAAGATATTGGCCTGAAGTTTTTTTTCTTTTGTTCTTTTTTAAAATGTGCCTTTGTCTGGTTTGGTATCAAGGTAATATTAACCTTGTAGGATGAGTTTGGAAGTATCCCCTCCTCCTCTATTTTTTGGAATAGTTTGAACAGGATTGGTATTAGTTATTTAAATATTTGGTAAAATTCAGCAGTGAAGCCTTCAGGTCCTGGGCTTTTCTTTACTGGGAGACTTTTGATTATGGCTTTGATTTCATTATTAGTTATTGGTCTGTTCAGGTTTTGGATTTCTTCGTGGTTCAATCACAGTAGGTTGAATATGTCTAGGAATTTATCCACTTCTAGGTTTTCCAATTTATTAGCAACATATAGTTTTCATAGAAGTCTCTAGTGAGCCTTTGAATCTCTGCAGTATCCGTTGTAATGCCTCCTTTTACATTTCTGATTTTATCTATTTGAGTCTTTTTTCTTTTTTTCTTAGTCTGGCTAAAGGTTTGTCAATTTTGTTTATCTTTTCAAAAAACAAACTTTTTTGTTTTTTTGATTTTTTTTTATTTCAATTTCATTTATTTCTGCTCTGATCTTTATTATTTGTTTTCTTCTGATTTTGGGTTTGACTTGCTCTTGCTTTTCTCGTTCTTTCTTTTCTTTTCTTTTTTTTTTTTTTTTGAGACTGATTCTCACTCTGTCACCCAGGCTGGAGTGCAGTGGTGCCATCTCCGCTCACTGCAACCTCTGCCTCCTGGGTTCGAGCAATTCTCCTGCCTCAGCCTCCTGAGTAGCTGGGATTACAGGTGCCTGGCACCACACCCAGCTAATTTTTTGTATTTTTGGTAGAGACAGGGTTTCAATATGTTGGCCAGGCTGGTCTTGAACTCCTGACCTCAAGCAATCCACCCGTCTCAGCCTCCCAAAGTGCTGGGATTACAGGCATGAGCCACCGCGCCTGGCTCGCTCTTCTAGTTCTTTAAGATGCATTGTTAGGTGGTTTATTTGAAGTTTTTCTACTTTCTTTCTTTCTTTTTTTTTTTTTTGAGACAGCGTCTCAATCTGTTGCCCAGGATGGAGTGCAGTGGTACAATCTTGGCTCACTGCAACCTCTGCCTCCTAGGTTCAAGAGATTCTCATGTCTCGGCCTCCCGAGTAGCTGGGATTAGAGGCGTGTGCCACCCCGCCCTGCTAATTTTTGTATTTTTATTTATGTATTTATTTAGGAGACAGAGTCTTGCTCTGTCACCCAGGCTGGAGTGCAATGGCACAATCTCAGCTCACTGCAACCTCTGCCTCCTGGGTTCAAGCGATTCTCCCACCTCAGCCCCCCGACTAGCTGGGACTACAGGCACCCGCCACCACGCCCAGCTAATTTTTGTATTTTTAGTAGAGACAGGGTTTCACCATATTGACCAGGCTGGTCGCTGGTCTTGAACTCCTGACCTTGTGATCCGCCCACCTCAGCCTCCCAAAGTGCTGGGATTACAGGCGTGAGCCACCGTGCCTGGCCTGTAATCTTTAAAGCTCAATAGAAATGTAAGATCTTGCTATTGTTATGCGATTATAAAATCTTCCATTCCTTGCTTTTTCCTTGGTTGCTGGCCTAGAAACTAAATCAATTCTGTTCTCTTTTTATTTTTTAAAAGTAATCTCGAACATGTGAAATTGCTGATATTTTAATGTATTGCTGATGTTTCATCTATTCCAATGGTAGCTTCCTCTGGTTTCTTCTAATAGTTAAAACTCTATCATGCCTATAATCCCAGCACTTTGGGAGGTCAAGGCGGGCAGATCACCTGAGGTCAGAAGTTTGAGACCAGCCTGGCCAACATGGCAAAACCCTGTCTCCACTTAAAAGATGAAAATTGGCAGGAGAATCGCTTGAACCCGGGAGACCTTGGTTGCAGTGAACCAAGATTACACCACTGTACTCCAGTCTGGGCAACAAAGCGAGACTCAGAAAAAAAAAAAAATATATATATATATATATATATATATATGTATGTATATATACACACACATATCAAAGCAATATATTTGTATAGTGAAACCTCAGACAGTGCCACTAAGTGAATGATAATATAAAACTCTTATTTCTTATTTTGCTATGATGTTAGGTTCTCAACAATCATTCCGCCTGCTGGTTTACCTTGGTCTTTTTTCCCATTGAGATGGGTTTCCCTTCAATGTCTGGTGATTCTTCATTGTTCACATTTAATAGTGACACGTGAAGAAGGAGAATGAGTCTGTGTTATCATTAGTGAAAGGCTCGTCTAGATGGTGATTCTTCACTGTTCACATTTAATAGTGACACGTGAAGAAGGAGAATGAGTCTGTGTTATCATTAGTGAAAGGCTTGTCTAGATGGTGATTCTTCATTGTTCACATTTAATAGTAACACATGAAGGAGAATGAGTCTGTGTTATCATTAGTGAAAGGCTCGTCTAGGTGGTGATTCTTCACTGTTCACATTTAATAGTAACACATGAAGGAGAATGAGTCTGTGTTATCATTAGTGAAAGGCTCGTCTAGATGGTGATTCTTCACTGTTCACATTTAATAGTGACACGTGAAGAAGGAGAATGAGTCTGTGTTATCATTAGTGAAAGGCTCGTCTAGATGGTGATTCTTCACTGTTCACATTTAATAGTGACACGTGAAGAAGGAGAATGAGTCTGTGTTATCATTAGTGAAAGGCTCGTCTAGGTGGTGATTCTTCACTGTTCACATTTAATAGTAACACATGAAGGAGAATGAGTGTGTTATCATTAGTGAAAGGCTCGTCTAGGTGGTGATTCTTCACTGTTCACATTTAATAGTAACACGTGAAGGAGAATGAGTGTGTTATCATTAGTGAAAGGCTCGTCTAGAGGTTTTGCTTCGGGGAGTCGATGGGGTTTCCGCATGTTAGTAAGTGATGCCTTTGGTCTGGATGGTTTCCTTCCTCTGGAGAAAACCTTCTCCTCTCCTCTCTGGAAGGCAGCTGCTTGCTTGTTGGTTGTTGGTGTTCTACTCACTGGTTACCCGAGGGGTGGGGTGCTGGCATCGGTGAGGGAGGATAATGAGGGTTGACTGTCAATGTACAGATTTTAATCGACCCTCCTGTTTTCTGATGCCTGCCTCACTTCTCTGCCCCTCACCCCCAGGAAGGTCCACAGATGATGCTCCTTCTCACGGATGCGAGGCCATCAAATCACTTTTTGTCTCCGCTGCTCTCTCTCCATCGTGGATAGCCACCATGGTTTCTCAGGAGGGAAAGGACACAACTGGGTCAGTATTTCGTCTACCATCTTTAACTTGGAAGCTTCTTCTTCCAACTAAAGCTAGAATAGCAAAGCTTGAGAAAGGGTTTTGAAAATATTTAGTAACTCAAGTTTTTGGGATGATTTGAACATCTTAAGGCACTAAGTTACTGGGTTTTCTGAAAATGGTGATGGGGAATCATTAATTAATTAATTAATCTCTGCTTTGTTTTAAATATATTGCACCAGGTTTGTGTGTTAGAATTCACACTCAAAAAGTACAGGTTTAATTTTGATATATTTTCTTTGAAGAAATAGCTTAACTGCTCTTCAATGCTATACTTAGGATGTGGCCAAATCTTTATTTGAGACAAAATGTATTATTTCTCTCTATGTAAATTAAGATGTTGTACTTTGAAAAATCATTCCTTTGGGAATTTTTAGATCTTTCTCAGTTTTCTTGAACCTTTTGTGTAAGAGCAATGACCTTATATTTGTCACATTGTTCCTATTAAACACTTAGCTGTGGGCACGAAAGAAACGGGCAGTTCTGTTACAAGAATAAGGTGGAGAAGGTAGTATCACTCTTACTCTTTCATGGATGGGCAAACAGGTTCAGGAATTTCCCAGAACCAAGGTTTTCTATCTTATAATTGGGTGTTCTTTGTCTCACAACATGCGCTTCGTCCTTCCGTATGAATCTCTTTGCTCAGGCTGACTCTGAATGTCAGCTCTCACATGCTAAGCACACATTAATTTCTCTTATCCTTTATTCCCACCTAGTGTGCGGGTGGTTTTGAGAGGATCCTGTACGGTATGGTCCTCAGGTGCTTGGCAAAATGGGTCCACCCCCTCCCGGGTAACCCTGGCTCTAGGCCCTCTTCCATGTCCTGGCCTTCCCCAGCAGTCCCCTGGAGCCCTCTGGCGACCAAAACTCCACAGTGAAGCGCCGCCTGGAGTGGTGGCCGGTGAAGGGTTCCCAGTTCGGGACACGTTATTCCTCTTCTGTAAAAACTGCACCACTTTCAGCTAGACTCTCAGGCAAAGGCACAGAAAATTACCTGATTAGATTCATGATCTTTTAGAGGTTTCCTATCGCTGAGGTCATCTGAGCCAGCAGTTTTCAAAATGAGTTGACAGCTTCATATCCTAAAATGTTGCATTTAAATTCCAGTTAAAAATAGTTTAACTACTGTATTTTTCCATTCTAAGACAGATTTTTTTCATGCTTTGCTTTTTCTGGAGTTAGCATGCATCTTATAATTGATACACTTCATTTAATATGATGGGATCTCTTCTGTTCTTCTAAAAAATTATCAATACATTTGTGATGAATATTGGTTTAATAGCATCTCAGAATGTAAAACATCCAGGTTGCAATCATTACCTCTTCTACAATATTTAGGTGAAGAAGGTCATATTTCTTTCTTTTTTAAGTCAAATTATATCTAGCAGAAACTCCCATATATCAAGATGTGGAAGATTCCAATTCACGGAGGTTCCTCGTCATATTCTGTGCCAGACACTGGAGGCCGGTATGGTGGGACTTCATGCTCCGCACCTTCCTGTCTCACTACTTTTCCTGTGACTGCCAATTGCTGGCCCTTTACTCTGAAGGGGGTTAGAGGACGACTGCCTCTGGCATTGGGGAGGGGATACTCCTCACAGCACAAGAAGTGGCAAGAAAGCAGCTGACAAATGCTGGAACCTTGGCCACACCAACCACATCTGGGGAATTGCATGTGACTAGGGCCAAGCCCATTAGGAATGCTCCTTTTCTGGGAACATCTCTCCAGTATCTTCGTTTTGATTTCCCATTGGCTAGTCCAGCTTACCCCCTTAGATTATTCTAGATCTCCCCAGAAAATACCTGGGTAAGAGTTATCCAGGCAAATTCTCTTTTCCTCCTTTTAACCCTAAAGGCTATATTGGGTGTATGTGTGCACGTGTGTGTGCGTGTGCGTGTGTGTGCATGTGTGTGCCTGCGCGTGCGTGTGCTCGTGTGTGTGCGCGTGTGTGTGCGCTCATGCGTGCATGGGTGTGTGTGTGTTACAGAGAGATCTAATCTGCAGAAGCACAGCTTCTGGGAAAAGGGAAAAGGGCTGCTTTATTTCCTGATGCCTCCAAAGCACACACAAAGAAGATATAAGTTAGTACTTGCTCTAATATTCCATCTGTAACATTGAGCATTTAAAAGTCATAATAATACATTAAAATACCATGCCCATACAAGTGCATTTAAAATGTAGCATTAATGAAACAATTAAATGTCCCAACTTAACCTGTCTTCTTGCAAGCCACGAAATAAATTTCTCCCACTATCTCTATGTGTATGTTTACCATTTGTGCAAATTTACCACTGAAAAGAGATTGTAGACAATTTTTATTTTGATAGCAATCCACTCATGTAAAATTACACACAGAAATACTACTATAACCCATGTGTATTGCAAGATCCAATTAAATGTAAACCAAGGCCCATTTGTTCATGCATGTGTTTTTATGATTTTGTCTGTTGTTTCTCTGACTTACATATTTATAATACAGAATGTGAGAAGAGTGAGCTCTTTGTAGTTATTTAGCTTTAAGGCATAGACAACTGTTTTAGAACCTTTAAAAAGCAATTGCAGATTTTTTTAAAAGTCTCTTGAAATTACAAGTCCTTTTTAAAAATTATTATTCTTTGAAACTACTTTTCTGTATACATCAAGATTTATCAATAGCATATGAACAAAATAAAACGGGACAGGATGGTAATGGCCACCTCATATTGCTTATTTCTTTTATAATAACTAAGTCATATAAATTGAGCTCACAAAAATATTTATATTAATAAAATTATAATTTATCATTGGTAATGTCTGAGTTTTTCTTGTACATTTTTATGTAGCAAGAAAAAAATTTTTACTGTTAAAAATGGTTTTTAAAAAATCGCAGCAAGCCTAAGCCCCTTCATTTTACGAACACAATAACCTGAGGCTCATCAGGGCTGGTGACTCACACAGGCGCACACTCAGCATTGCTGGATGTCGGCTCAGGATCCAGAATGCATTTGAACAACTCACGCTAAGTTAATAAACGCACTTTAAGATAAGCCCATATTAATCCCAAAGTAACTAAACTTGTGGAATTTGTAAAAGAAGATGTTTATGAACGAGGACATGGCATTTCCACATTACTTCTGATTCTCCCCTTTCTAAAAGCAGAATCTACGGTCTCTATTTTCCCGTTGCGAGATTTCAGCGGAGAGCCTGGTGGCACTTACAGCAGACATCACAGATGCCTCAGCGTTTCGGATGAGGACAGTAAAGACCTTCCTTGCTTCATGAAACCTTCGTTTTCCAGGGGAGAAAACACAGGTTGAGTCTAAACTCAGTCCTCCTGTTGAAATATTTTAATGACGCTGAAAGAGGCTGTTGCGTTTGGCAGGTGCGTGTGGAGCTGTGTGGCCCTGCACTGAAGCCCTGCAGTCCTGACTTCTGAGTGGAGCTACAGGAGAATTATGTTAATGTGTTTGCACTACTCGCTCAGTTGTAAAAAGTTACAAATATATTTAATGAGGATAAAATAGTTTAACAATGTTTACACACCTATTTTAGTTATTACATTCTCTAAGCTATTTTTATCCTCACAACCATGGAAGCACTCCGCCATCTCCATTTCAGAAAGTAGACAATAACTGAAAAAAAACTGTCTACTTTTTTAAAACGTGATTTACTTCATTATGAAAGTTCATAGTTTATGTAATTAATACCTTTTTGTGGTCTGCGTTCAGTGGGTGTTGGCATCTGCACACTGTCGTGGGTCCACTGTTGTGGTGAAATCGCACACAGTGATCTCACTGCCCTAAACATCCGGGGCTCTCTGCCCATCCATCCTTTCCTCTCCCCAACCCCTGTCGACCACTGATTATTTTACTATCTATGTAATTTTCCCTTTTCCAAAATGTCACGTAATTACATAGATATTTTACTCTCTATGTAGTTTTTCCTTTTCCAAAATGTCACATAATTGGAATCATACAGTATGTAGCCTTTTTGGCTTCTTTCACTTAGTAATGTGCATTTTGGGTCCCTGTATGCCTTTTCATGACTTGATAGCTCATTTCTTTTCTCACTGAATGATATTCCATTGTCTGTAGGTACCAGAATTTATTTCTCAATTCACCTACTGAAGGACATGTTGGTCACCTCGTTTCTGGTAATTCTGAATAAAGCTTCTATGTAGGTGCCAGCCCTACAGGGTTTGTGGGTTTTTTCTCCCCATGTGCAGAGATGAGAGATTGTAGAAAAAGAGACACAAGACAAAGAGATAAAAGAAAAGACAGCTGGGACCGGGGGACCACTACCACCAAGACGCAGAGACCAGTAGTGGCCCCGAATGCCAGGCTGCGCTGTTATTTATTGGATACAAAGCAAAAGGGGCAGGGTAAAGACTGTGAGTCATCCAACTGATTGATAAGGTCACGGAGTCACGTGTCCACCAGACAGGGGGCCCTTCCCTGTTTGGCAGCCGAGTCAGAGAGACAGAGAGGACAGCTTATGCCATTATTTTTTCTATGCTCTTTTCAGAAAGATCAAAGACTTTAATACTTTCACTAATTTGCTACTGCTATCTAGAAGGCAGAGCCAGGTGTGCAGAGTGGAACATGAGAGCGGACCAGGAGCGTGACCACTGAGGCACAGCATCACAGGGAGACGGTTAGGCCTCCGGATAACTGCAGGCGGGCCTGACTCATGTCAGGCCCTCCACAAAAGGTGGAGGAGTAGAGTCTTCTCTAAACTCCCCCGGGGAAAGGGAGACTCCCTTTCCCGGTCTGCTAGGTAGCGGGTGTTTTTCCTTGACACTGACGCTACCACTAGACCACAGTCCGCTTGGCAACGGGCGTCTTCCCAGGCACTGGCGTTACCGCTAGACCAAGGAGCCCTCTGGTGGCCCGGTCCGGCCATAACAGAAGGCTCGCACCCTTGTCTTCTGGTCACTCCTCACTATGTCCCCTCAGCTCCTATCTCTGTATGGCCTGGCTTTTCCTGGGTTATGATTATAGAGCGAGGGTTATTATAATATTGGAATAAAGAGTAATTGCTACAAACTAATGATGAATGATATTCGTAGATAATCATGTCTATGATCTAGATCTAGTATAACTCTTGTTATTTTACATATTTTATTACACTGGAACAGCTCGTGCCCTCGGTCTCTTACATCGGCACCTGGGTGGCTTGCTGCCCACATTTCTATAAACATTTGTGTGCAAGTTTGTGTGTGGATATAACTCTTCAACTCCATTGGGTAAATAATGAGGAGCACAATTGTTAAATCTTATGACAAGACTATGTGAGCTTTGTAAAAACTGCCAAACTGTCTTCCAAAGTGGCTGTGCCATTTTGCATTCCCACAGCAATGAATGAGAGTTCTCATTGCTCCACATCCTCACCAGCATTTGGTGCTTTCATTCTTGTGGATTGTGGCCATTCTAACAGGTGTGTAGTGGTATCTTATTGCGTCTTAATTGGCAATTCCTAATAACATATTATACACAGCATCTTTTCATATACTTAGTTTCCATCTGCAGATTTGTTCAGCTTTTGCCCAGTTTTGTTTGTTTTCTCATTGTTGAGTTTTAAGAGTTCTTTGTGTATTTCAGATATGAATCCTTAGATATATTTTGCAAATATTTTCTCGCAGTCTGTGATTTATCTTTTTATTCTCTTAACAGTATCTTTTGAAAACAAAAGTTTTTCATGTTAATGAAATTAAACTTCCCAATTTTTTTCTTTGTGGATCATGCTTTTGGTGTTGTATCTGAAAAAAAAAACACCAAATCCAAAGTTATCTAGATTTTTTTTCCTTATGTTATCTTCTAGAAGTTTGAAAATTTTACATTTCATATATTGGTCTAATATCTACTTTGCATTAACTTTTGTAAAAAGTATAAGGTCTGTTACATATTCTTTTTTTTTTTGCATGTGGATGCCCACTTGTTCCAGAACCATTTGTTAAAAAGACTCTCCTTTCTCCATTGAATTGCTTTTGCTCCTTTGTCAGAAATCAGTTGGCTGCATTTCATTCTGTTTCTGGGTTCTCTGTTCTGTTTCACTGATGTATGTGTATGTGTCTTCTGTTTTGCCTTCAATTTAAAAAATATCTAAATATCTACTTGCTACCTCAATTTGCTGATGAATTCTCATTTGTAAACAGAAAAGCATAAATTAAAGCCTGAGTATCTTTTGGGGTAGATGTTGCATTGAATACAATGAGCAGAATGAGTTATAATCTTAAAGTGAATATAAAAATTTGACCATAGTGGTAACAGATTTGTGCACTAGTGACATCAATGACAGAGTCCATTGCAATATTGCTTCCTCCCATAGGCTCAGCTCTGCTTCACACCAGGTAACTACCAGTCCCTTTTGTGCTTCATTCAAGGATTTCTGTGGGGCGGAAAGCAGAAATATCATGAGCTCAGTGGAGAGAGAGAAGGCAGTTTTCCAGGCTGGGAGCAGTCAGATCTCCAGTGGGTCCCAACACTGCTCTGTAGCAATGCCTAGAAGGTGATGGAAACAGGGTGAACATGAGGTGGGTGCTGGCCCCGGGGTTCCCAGTGTTACCAGGTTCCCATGGTCTATAAGACGCCTGGAAATGAGATCTTCTGGGCTTTGGGGGCCCCTGTGGAATTGGAAAATAAGGAAGTGAGCAGTGACAATCTAGACTGGTTATTAGAGGTGCATCTCCCATTTTTCAGAAGCCAAGGAGCCCTTGATTAGTGAAATTGTGGCCCCACAACAATGGTGGAGTGGAGTGTCCTGCCATTCTGGAGGGGAGATGGCTCAGGGTCAAGACTGAACTCATTAGAAAATACAAGAAGTTTTTTTGTTTTTTTTTTCTATCTGAGTTTGTGAATGAAGAGCTACACTGCTGTGAAATGTGCAAATCATTGGCTACTGTTTCTCATGTGCATTCCAGGAGTATCAAGTCCAAAATGAAGCTCTTCAAACCATCTGGGAAGAGAAAACAGCATGACAAGGAAAGGTGTATTTGTCTGATCCCAGTAATCAATATAAACATCAATGATAACCCCACCTATTTTTTTAAATGTATGATTTGGATGAAACAAGAGAAAGAGACTGATTGTTGCTGAGTCCCTGCTGCAGTCCTGACACAGCTCTCCTTATTTTGTTGATGCTCATGAGGACCCTGATGTCTGAGGAAGAAGGTTCCCGTCCAGCTCTGCCCCTGGTGTGTCACATGCCGGCCTTGTCAACGCACACGAGAACCTGACAGGGTGAGTGTTATAACCCAGTCATAGAAAAGGAAACTGGCTCTAAAGTGTATGGCATCTTGCCCAAGTTCTGACACTTAGCAGAGGCCTGAGTTTAAATACAGCCTCGTCTTGCTCTTCGACAGCCTCAGCACCACATGCCCTGGGTGGCCCACGCAGTGAGTCACTGACAGCCCTCGTGGTTGGCCCGTGGCACAGCATGGAGCGAAATGGTCCAGTGACCTTTTCAGACACTCGGGCAATGCGTGGTATAGTGTATGTGGTCACTCCCAGTGAGTCCTATTGTTCAGTTTAATAGAATATCTAATTCTATGTTTATTCTGAATAAAGGGAGATTTCTTGTGGTTTTTAAGAATATGAAGCATATCTATTTTGCCTACAAGTTGGAAGTTCCGATACTGTAGGAAGCATAAGTGCAGGTTATAATGATGGGTTTTTTATAAGACTGAATTCACATCAAACTGAATCAGTAACTCCAGCTGTATGAACAGGGTGAAACATTAAACATTTAATGAAAACAATTCCTTTCTTAGGTCACAGCAAGGACTAAATATGTCCAATTATCATGCCCACTAAGAAGATGTATTGTAATATTTGCAGTTAATCACTCATTCACTTCAAAGGGTGTTTATTAATTGTCTGCTCTGGGCATAACATTAATTGGAAGCAGTGTGTTCACATGGAAACAAAACTTACCTGAGACTCTCAGTCACAACTTTCCATGACCAGTACACGTTTCTAATTTGAAATACATATCTAAGGCTTCAAATGCATAAATAGGTATCCCAATGTAGAACTAAGTCAATAGTTGCTTTGAATTAATTGTTTAAATTAACCTGGGAATCGGAAAGATATGTCTCCATGAAACAATAAAGGCTGTGTTAGAATTAGTAAACTTTAGAAGAGCATTTTAATCCTAATATATAAACATACTACCTAGGCACACTGTTTAAATACATCTGCAACCTACTATTTTTAGATTTAAGAAAATCATTAAACCTTAAATTTGGAAAAGATTCCAGTGTTAGACCTCTAGACTATGAAACTTGAATGTTTTTCTAAACTCTTTGAGTTTTATCCAGAAATACAGATTTTCCTGGCACTGACAACTGCAAGAAATTTCACTTGGAGTCTCCACATAGTCAACCATGTGATGTTAACATCAGTGTAATAGATACTATCACAAACATCCTGTGACTTTTATATTTTTTTTGTACTTTAAGTTCTGATACATGAGCAGAACGTGCAGGTTTGTTACACAGGTATACACGTGCCATGGTAGTTTGCTGCACCCATCAACGCATCATCTACATTAGGTGTTTCTCCTAATGCTATCCCTCTCCTAGGCCCCCACCCGCCCTGACAGGTCCCAGTGTGTGATGTTCTCCTCCCTGTGTCCATACATTCTCATTGTTCAATTCCCACTTATGAGTGAGAACGTGTGGTGTTTGGTTTTCTGTTCCTGTGTTAGTTTGCTGAGAATGATGGTTTCCATTTTCATCCATGTCCCTGCAAAGGACATGAACTCATCCTTTTTTATGGCTGCATAGTATTCCGTGGTTTATATGTGCCACATTTCTTTATCTAGTCTATCACTGATGGGCATTTGGGTTGGTTGCAATTCTTTGCTATTGTGACTAGTGCTGCAATAAACATACGTGTGCGTGTGTCTTTATAGTAGAATGATTTATAATCCTTTGGGTATATACCCAGTAATGGGATGGCTGGGTCAAATGGTATTTCTGGTTCTAGATCCTTGAGGAATCGCCACACTGTCTTCCACAATGGTTGAACTGATTTACACTCCCACCAACAGTGTAAAATCGTTCCTATGTCTCCACATCCTCTCCAGCATCTGTTGTTTCCTGACTTTTTAATGATTGTCATTCTAACTGGTGTGAGATGGTATCTCACTGAGGGTTTGATTTGCATTTCTCTAGTGACCAGTGATGATGAGCTTTTGTTCATGTATTTTTCAGCCACATAAATGTCTTCTTCTGAGAAGTGTCTGTTCATGTCCTTTGCCCACTTTTTGATGGGGTTGTTTTTTTCTTGTAAATTTGTTTAAGTTCATTGTAGATTCTGGATATTAGCCCTTTGTCAGATGGATAGATTGCAAAAATTTTCTCCCATTCTGTAGGTTGCCTGTTCACTCTGATGGTAGTTTCTTTTGCTGTGCAGAAGCTCTTTAGTTTAATTAGATCCCATTTGTCAATTTTGGCTTTTGTTGCCATTGCTTTTGGTGTTTTAGTTGTGAAGTCCTTGCCCATGCCTATGTCCTGAATGGTATTGCCTAGGTTTTCTTCTAGGGTTTTTATGGTTTTAGGTCTAACATTTAAGTCTGTAATCCATCTTGAGTTAATTTTTGTGTAAGGTGTAGGGAAGGGGTCCAGTTTCAGTTTTCTGCATGTGGCTAGCCAGGTTTCCCAACACCATTTATTAAATATGGAATCCTTTTCCCATTGCTTGCTTTTGTCAGGGTTGTCAGACATCCTAAACTTTTTAATTTAAGAATTTACATTTTTTAAAGTAACTGACAATCATTTAAAAATCCATGACTTAAAAAATAATAATTCCTCCTATGTTTTCAACCAAGAGAAGTGAAAATCTGTTTACACAAAGGCCTGAATATAAGTATTCTTAACAACTTTCTTCTTAATAGCCAAATATTTTTAAAATAGTCTATCACTGCAGAATAGATAAACAAGCTGTAATATATTCCTGCAGTGGTTACTGCCCAACGTAAGAAGAATGACATACACACTGGAAACCACATGGACATAGCTCAAAGGCATTAAAATATATGAAAGAAACCAGGTATAAGATAATTTACTGTATGATTCCATTTATATCAAATGCTTTTCTTTCTTTCTTTCTTTCTTTCTTTCTTTCTTTCTTTCTTTCTTTCTTTCTTTCTTTCTTTCTTTCTTTCTTTTTTTTTTTGACAACATCTCACTCTGTCCGGAGTGCAGTGATGTGATCACAGATCACTGCAGCCTTGACCTCCCAGGCTCAGGTGATTCTTCAGCCTCCTGAGTAGCTGGGACCACAGGTGTGTGCCACCACACCTGGCTAAGTTTTTGTGTGTGTGTATTTTTTTTTGAGACAGGGTTTTGCTATGTTACCCAAACTCCTTGTTCAAGTGATCCTCCCTTCTCAGTCTAGTGCTAGGATTACAGCCATGAGTCACCACACGTGGCCTGTATCAAATTCTCAGACAAAACCAGAGTGAAAGAAAGCAACTGCCAGGAGCTGTGGTGGAGGGGGCACTGACTACAGCAGCATGCAAGGGAATTTTCGGGGTAATGAAATGTATTTCAATGGTAGTGTTGTGTACATGACTATATATATTTGTCAAAATGCATTCATTTGTACACTTAAAATTACTAAATTTTATTATATGTAAATTAAACTCAATCAGACAATAAAAAATAAACTTTTGATCCTGAAAAAATACCTACATACACACAAACTACCTCTGAAACAAACTACTTTTTCAGAATTTCTAATTTAAATATTCAGAAATATGAATGACGACAATGAATTTTAACAAGGCTTGCATAATTCAATTCTGTTTTGGATCATGCCTGAGAGGCATATTAGCTGCTGGACTTATGTGGACTTCCTTACCTCCTTTGCATATGAAAAAATAGGAGGTTGAGACAGAAACAAGATATGTAACTAATGTACAATGAAACTTTCTACTGCCCAGGAAATGAGGCTTTCTATTGCCCAATGAATTGTGCCTGGCAGCACAATTCACTGCTTCACAATTGATCATTCTTTTTACCCTCAAAGCATCCTTGAAATGATTGACTCAACCATGAGAGAAACTGTAAATATTCTCAGATACAAACTCACAGTACCAGCTTCACAGAACACCTGCAGGTGCAAGTAACTAAAAATCCAGCTCAATTTGACTTTAATGGGAAGGCAATTTATTGACTCAGGTGGGTAGTTCAGAAGCAGGCCAGGCTTCAGGGTGAATCTGAGCACAGAAGCTCATGGATGCTACCCAGGACTCAGTCTCTTCCCAATTTTCTGCTCTGCCTTCAGTGAAGTCAGAATCATTCTGAGTGTGGCAAAATCTCCAGGAACAATTTCTGAGGCTGCATTCTTCATCAGAGAGGGAGCATGAACAAGCACACTCTTAGCACAATGTGTATTTGACTCTAATTGGAACAACGCAGGCCCTTGCCCATCCCCAAGTCCATTAGGGGGACCAAGGGAGTGCTGTGTGGCACCTAGCATGAGCCTCAGTTATGCACCCACCTTGGAACCAGTAACTGTGACACAGGGTGAGACGGTGCTGGTTAGGTTAAGTCAACCAGCACTCACCCCATGTTTCAAACCATGTGACTGAATAACTCAGGGCTCTGTTAGGAAGGAGAAAGGTGGATGCTTCTTGAATAGCACCCAACACTCAACTACAATTTGATTTAACAGGAACCCGGAGGCCTTGCCCATAGAAATCTCTCACAGTTGCTTGGAGAGAGAACACTCAGTACAAAAATCTTATGGCAGCAACCCTGTGGCCTCAAGGGTGCCACGGACTTGGTGTGGGGGGTGGGGAAGGGAGGGTGGGGAAGGGCTCAGTGTCTTCTGAAGATGAAGCAGAAGAATAGATGGCACTGCCTTAGCAGAGTGGAAAATGTTTAACCCCAAGAGATGCCTACAGAGGCAGCTGAGCCACACCACAGACTCCTAGAAGGATTTGTGTTAGGGTTCTCAAGTGTCTAGGTAAGGAGAGGAGATGGTGAGGCAGACACAGAAAGGTCGGTTCAAAGCACATTGGGAAGAGACATGCCTACAGAGGCAGCTGAGCCACACCACAGACTCCTAGAAGGGCTTGTGTTAGGGTTCCCAAGTGTCTAGATAAGCAGAGGAGATGGTGAGGCAGACACAGAGGGTCGGTTCAAAGCTGATTGGGAAGAGTGTGATCCCAAGACCCCTCAGTCCACACTGGCAGTCAAATACTCCTCCCTGACTTTGGAAAAAGAAACAATTTATTTTCTTCAGACATTGAAACAGGACTTTTCTAAGCTCCAGGACACTGGGTAATGCTGCTTATGCACAGAGAGGATTTAGTGAAAGCCAATTTACTGAGCAGGGAGATCCACAGACTCTTTCTCCCTCTTGGCTCCCAGAATGCTGGGGTCAGACTTGCAGTTAGGAGACTGGTGACCTCTTTTTGGAGAGGATCTGCAGATGCCAACATTTCAGGGTTTCCTCAGGTCCAGGAGTGCCAGGCTCCTGTGCATTCTTCCTTTGGGGAAGCAAAGGAAGACTCCATCTGTGCTTTTGGCCCTGGTGTTTCCGATGTGGTGTCTCACACAGGAGTTCAGCTCCTCTCAGAATAGTGGACCCAGGATTGTTTGTAAAGACCTACCAATAGCTCAATGTCCATGCACGGGGTAAGAGCACAGCGTCCACAGAGAATTTCCTGGGGCCCAGAACTGGTGCTGGGGCCCATAGTGGAAAACCTCAACCCATTACCTGGGAGTGCTCTTGGGAACCAGCACTTTCCTGGGACAGGAAGAGGTGACAAACCCGTGGCAATACCCGCCCTCCACAACACCTGAGTGCACACCTGCCCACCACAACACCCGCCCACCACAACACCCAAGTCAACACCCACCCACCAGAATACCTGAGTCCACACCCGCCCACCACAACACCCGCCCACCACAACACCTGAGTCCACACCCGCCCACCACAACACCTGCCCACCACAACACCTGAGTCCACACCCGCCCACCACAACACCTGCCCACCACAACACTCAAGTCAACACTCCCCCACCACAACACCCATCAACACCCATCCACTCCAACACCCCCCCCACCTCAACACCAGCAGCAATACCCGCCCACCACACTTGAGGAGGCTTGGGCAATCACCACCCGAGGCCCTG
Source organism: Homo sapiens (assembly GCF_000001405.40). Taxonomy (NCBI): domain Eukaryota; kingdom Metazoa; phylum Chordata; class Mammalia; order Primates; family Hominidae; genus Homo; species Homo sapiens. The sequence goes on along the minus strand of NC_000003.12, from coordinate 196,013,968 downwards.
GGGCCACACTGAGGGGAAGCTGAGGCCTGAACTCTCCATCCTGGCTCTCCTTGTGTTGGTCTGAGCCCAGGAGAAGGTCATGGAGAGACAAGGCCAGGTGTGCTCTTGGACAGTCACTGAGACTCTCACAGGAGGGGGCATGCAGGGGAAGGGGCTGCAGGGCCAGGAGTGTGAGGGGGTCCCAGAGTCACACATCGCATCAGGAGGAGGTGAAGCTCCTGGGGCCCGGGCCTGCTGGCCTCCTCTGAGCTGGTGCTTGGGGAGGAAAAAATATCAAAGTAAGTTGTGTTGATGGTTCCATCGTCATGCAGGGTTGGAGTAATGACCAAGCTGACCAGCAGTTTAAGTGTTTGTTAATCGCCTTCTGGGGACAGGAGCAGGTTAACTGAGTGCGTTTGAGGGACAAAAACAAACAGAGCATTTATTTTTATGATTCATAAAGCCAAGACTGCTAAATGAATGCCCATTGAAAACACGATGGGAATTTAAACAGCCTTCGGAAGGAACCCCCCGGTCTCTGTATTCACACACGTCAGGCTGTTTGCGCGTCGGTGCGGGAGCAAATATTCCTCCCAACTGGTTTTCTGCCACGTCTGAGGGCTTTGAAGATGCTGAGGTCCTTCGGTATGTCCATGGCTCACAAAGGCCCCATTTGGTGGCATTGGACGCAGCTGCAGCCACCTGTGCCTTTATTCAGGCTCCTGCTAAAACAGACAGGGCACAGCTGCTGACTGCTCCTCCTCAGCTTTCTTCAAGATGCTGGGGGAAGCACGGGTGCTTCTGCTGTGACTGATGTGGCAACCGTCCCAGAGGTGCCTCCTCCGCCCGCCACACCCCACAGACCTGAGAGGCCTTGACTGGAGCAGGCCCTGCCCATACCTTGGTTTTGGACTTCATGCCTCCAGAGCTGTGAGAGAAGAAACTTCGATTGCTTTAAGCCCCTGGGTTTCTGGTAACTGACTACAGCAGGTGTGGGAAGCCAGCATCCTTCCACATTGGTGCAGAGGATTCTGAGATGTCCAGGTAGACTTGGCTTTTTACCAGGGTGCAATTGAATTGAGATATCGTTTAGTACAAAGTTTAATTTTAAACATTTTGTGGAGTACATCAATTTTTTAACCTGATTATAGTAAACTCTTTGCCTAATAATAGGTCATGAAGAGTTCTCCTTATGTTTTCTTCTAAAATGTTTACACTTTTGTAGTTTTCATTTTAGATCTGTGATTAATTTCAGTTAAGTATTCATAAGATGTGAGGTTTAGATTGCAGATATTTGCACATGCCCGTCAACATGATTCATAACCGTTTGTTGGAAAGACTCCTTCCCTCCATGACTCCTTTTGCATATTTGGCATGTTTGTGTTCTGGACACTGTATTCTGTTTCAAGGATCTATACGTTTGCTACTCTGCAAATGCCACCGTCTTGATGACTGCAGATTTATAGTAAGTCTTAAAATAAAGTAGTTTTAATTTTATGTTTTCTCCAACTTTGTTCTTCTTCAGTATCAAGTTGCATATTCTCTGTCTTTTGCCTTTCCATATAAAGTTTAGAATCAGCTCGGTTTAAACATTTTTGTGGGATTTTAATTGGAATTGCATTAAACTACAGATCAATTTGGGGAGAGCTGATGTATTTACCATGTTGGGTCTTTCAATCTATGAACATGTTGTTTCTCCATTTATTTATACATACATACATATATGCAAAAATTGTCTTCATAGGTCTTTTGTAGTAACTTGGAGATCCTGTACATGTTTGGAAAGATTCATACCTAAATGTTTCATTGTTTGGACCTGTTATACAAAGGCATTTTTTAAAAAATTGAGTCTCCAATTATACATTGCTATTATGGAAAAATATGATTGGCTTTCTATGTAAATGTAGAAATATGATTTGTTGATCATAAATTCTACTTTGCTAAATTCATTCATTATTTCTGAGAGTTATTTATTTATTTTGTTTTTGTGTTTCTTGGGATTTTCTGTGTGTAAAATCATGTCATCTACAACTAAGGACACTGCTGTTTTCTCTCCAATCAATATGCATTTTATTTCTTTTTCTTGCCTTGTACTGACTGGGATTTTAAGTGTGATGTCCAATAGGATTAGAAAATCTGGGCATTCCTATCTTCTGCCTGATCTCACTGAGAAAGCATGAGTCCCTCACTGTTGAGTGTGATGCCAGCCATAGACCTTCTGCTGATGCCCTGTTCAGGTTGGAGAAGTTCTCCTCTTATCTTTGTGGCTGAGTTTTTATCATAAATTGATATTGCTTTGTCAACTGCCTTTTGGCATCAATTGATATTATCATGTCATTTTTATTCTTTAAACTGTTAATATGATGTATTGCATTAGTTGATTTTACTTTTTAAGCTATCAAACCACCCTTGTATTCCTGGAGTAAATAGCACCACTTGGACTCTAGCATGGTATTCTTTACTCTTTTTGTTTATTGCCAGATTTAATTTGGTAACATTTTAATGAGGACTGTTATGTCTATATTCATGAAGAGTATTGATCTGTAGCTTTCTTTATTTGAATGCTCTTTGTCTGCATTTGGTATCCTGATGACTTGCCCTCATTAAATAATTTGGGGAGTCCTCCTCTTCTGTTTTTTGAAGACATTATGTAGAACTGATGGCATTTCTTTGTGAAATATTTATTAGAATTTCTTAGCCAAAAAAATGGGCCTGGAGATTTCTTTGTTAAAAGGTTTGGGAATACAAATAACCCTCTGAGGGTATTGCTTTCACATGGGGTGAGTTTGTGTTTTCTGAAGAATCCGTCCATTTTACCTGAGTGTTGAGTTCATGTGTATGGAGTTGTCATATTATTCCCTGTTTATCCCTTAGTGTCTGCAGTGTCTATAATGATGACCCATTTTTCTTTTTCAATGTTGGTAAACTGTGTCTCCCTCCTTTCCTTTTTTATTCAATGGTATTGTTAGAAGTTCACCAATTTTATTCAAATTTAATCAAAGAATTAGGTTTGGTGTCATTCATTTTTCTATTGTATTTTAAAATAATTTTGTTGTTTTTTGATCTTACCTTTATTATTTCCCTCCTCCTGCTTGGTTTTGATTCATTTTGGTTTCCTTTTTCTACCTTTTAAAAAGTCGAAACCTACATTATTGAGAACTTTCTATCTTTTTAGTATAATCTTTATTAATAGAGCAGTGTTACCACCTCACTGTGGACTTCGTCTATTTCTCTTTTTGGGTTTTTAAATTTTTGTTTCAAGTATTTTAGAGTTCTGGCATTTGGTGAATTCACATTTAGGATTGTTGTTTTCTTGACCCTTTTGTCATTATTTTTTTCTTCTCTTTATCCCTGGTGATTTTGTTTGCTTCAAAGCCTACTTTGCCTGATACTAACGTGGCTTATCCCACTGTCTTCGATGAGGGTTTGCATGGTGTTTGCTTCACTTTTTGCCTTTTGATTTTCATTCTATCTCTATCATTATATTTGGGGTGATTTAATTTTACACAGTGCATCACTGTCTAGGAAATAAAATGTACATAGTTAACTTTTCACACTTTGCCTGGAACCCATATTTGCTAGTTGGAATTTGTGAATCCATCTTCATGTAGGTCTCCTTCACCTGCCCCTCCAGTGGCAGGAGAGTTACAAGCTAGGTCTGCGCACTGAGTCTCCACGAGAAGATATTCTCATTTAAAACATTCCTTTCTCATGTTTTTCTCTGTTGTTAAGATTGGATAATTTCCATTAACCTATATTCAAATCCACAGACTCTTTGTTCCATTCTGATATTTCTTTACTGTCTTCTATAATCCCATCCAGTGAGGTTTTTTTCAAAAAGAACTTATTGCCCCTCCATTCTAAGATGTCCATTTGGTTTATATTTACATCTTCTAGTTCCTTCCTGAGATTTTCTCCTTTCTCATTTGTTTCAAGAGTGTTTGTGACTAGGGCTGCAGTGGTTTTATCACAGCTATTTTCATGTTTTTTGCCAGCGGATCACAACATCTCAGTCATCTTGGTACGGGCATGGGCTGGCTGGTTCCTGCGTGAGTTGCCATTTTCCTGGTTCTTCATATCCTAGTAAGGTTGAATTGCATTCTGGACACCATGAATATTACGTTAGGAGACTCTGCATCTTATTTCACTCCAATGAAGAATGTTGATTTTGTATTGGTTTGTTTTAGTGAGCATTAACCCGATTAAATTCAGGCTGTAAGTTTCAACTAACATTTTGTGGTCTGGGTTTCCCCAGCCAGTTCCTTTCTCAAAGCCTTCAATGCTGTTTGCATGTGCCCAGTGTGTGCACCGCCAGGGTCTAGGCTGAGGTCTGCCCATGAGCTCAAATCCACATGTGAACAGCTCAGGGCAGCCCAGGAGGCCACACGCCACTTACCAAGACTCTCCCTCTCCCGAATCTCCCTAAAATGTCCTTTCTCCCTGGGAACCCTCATTTTCATTCTCTAGCTAGAAAGCCGGGGATTTAGTTACCTGCTGAGCTGTGCACTCCCATGGCTGTGGCAGGCCTGGGCCAAGGGCTGGGAAGACGTGGGAGAAAGAAGCAGTGGGTCTGGCCCCATCCTGCTGGAGCCCCACATGGAGAGGAAGTTCCCCCACGGGGCTGGGTCCTGCCCTCTGCCATTGTCCCCACAGCTGCTGCCACAGACCCAGGTGATTGCCGGGGGCAGGGGGCAGAGGGCAGGGGGCAGGGTGTGGGGAGGGGTGGGGTGTCTGCCCTTCCCCTTAAGTCCTCTCTCTGTGGCCCCCAGCTCAGGCTGTGTGGTCCTTCCTGGAGTGTCCTGCACGTGGCCCCTGAGAGCTTGTGGACCCTGCTGCCTCGATGCGGGCAGGGGATGCAGGGGGGATGCGGGAGGGGACGCAGGTGCACCTGCTGCCTGGCCACTGCTCCTTATGTTCTGCCCCATTGTTCTTGCCAGAGTCCGTGGCCGGGGGCTCCCTGGGAGAGGTGAGTGGCATGTCTCCCCTCCTCAACCAGTAACAGGAGCCCCCTGAGCTGCGCCTTCCCAGCAAGGACTCCAGAGGGCTCTGGCCACAGACCTGCCACGGCTTGCTTATATGTTCAGGAACTAACATCGCTTAAATATTTATGCAAACTTCTGTCCATGGAGTCGTGGAGCTTCAACTACTGGGTACTTTTCATGGAGTCCTAGTTCACACGCACTAGTTTCCTTTTCTACTATTTATACTTTTGTGGAACGTTAAAAGTTGTTCTATAACATTTCTGTCCCCTAAAAATGTCTTTTAAAAATGAAATTTGATACATATGAAATACCGACGCTTCTACAGTTATGTCTTTGTCTGTGTGATCACGAGCTGGGACGGGTCAGCTCAGGTGGTGCTGAGGAACCACGTGGCTTAAGAGCTGTGACGATTTTCAGGACTTTGTTATGTAGAAGACGATTTCTGTTTCTACTTTGAATATAAACGTATGTCAGTAGGAATGAGGCGGGAAAGCCACCTCGTGGCACATCACTATGTGTTAAAAATTCTAAGACGTATCGTCCTGTGAAGAACTTCCAAAGGGATGGCTCTCACTGACGGACGGCTCCTGACCACGTTTCGCTGCTTCAGGGACGGTTCTGCTGCATTGGTCTTTCCTTGTGGGTAATGGCCAGGATTTAACCCCAGCGCAACCTACTGAAGCCCCACTCCTCTGACTTCAGAGCTGTCCAGGGCCCAGGCTATGAGGCAGCTGTTGAGAGGTCCCACGTACAGGTTGGGTGCACCTGTTTTCAAGGAACTTACAGGACAGCTCCGGGAACTGAGGCCGACACGACAATGGAGAATTCAGGCTTTGTTTCACTTTCTTAAAAAAGAAGTCCAATTAGATTTATGAGTATGACCATGACCATGCATAAATATAACTAATTTCTGAAAGTGCTACATACATGAGTGCTGGTTCTCGGGTGCCAGTACAATGCCACGTGTGTGAGGCTATCAACATTAGGAAGACAAAAGACACTCCCAAAATACAAGTCAGAACAGGGTCAAGTGCTGGAGGAGATCACTGAAAGGCCACCCGCCACCCCCAGAGCCTGGCAGAAAGCAGCTCGCCCAGGAGGGCCGGCCGGGTTCTGTGCCAGCTTCCTGGGGCTACTTAACAGCGTTCCAGAGACTGGGGCTTCAACAACAGAAACCTATTGTCTCATGGTTCTGGAGGCCAGAAGTCTCTGAGATCAAGGTGCAGCTGGAGGTGGTGGCACATGCCTGTAGTCCCAGGTACTCGGGAGGCTAAGGCAGGAGAATTGCTTGAACCAGGGAGGCAGAGGTTGCAGTGAGCCGAGATCGCGCCACTGCACTCCAGCTTGGGAGACAGAGTGAGACTCCGTCTCAAAAAAAAAAAAAAAAAAAAAAGAAGGTTCCAAGTACTGTAAAGAAAAATAAAGCAGGCTGGACTCAGTGGCTCACGCCTGTAATTCCAACACTTTGAGAGGCTGAGGTGGGAGGATTGCTCGAGCTCAGGAGTTCGAGACCAGCCTGGGCAACATAGCAAAATCCTGTCTCTAAAAAAAAAAAATTAGCTGGGTGTGGTGACGTGCACCTGTAGTCCCAGCCACTGGGGAGGCTGAGGAAGGGGGATTGATTGAGCCCAGGAGGTGAAGGTTGCAGTAAGCCGAGATCACGCCATTGCATTCCAGCCTGGATGACAGAGCCCGACCCTGAAAAAGAAAGAGAAAGAAGGAAGGAAGGAAGGAAGGAAGGAAGGAAGGAAGGAAGGAAAAGAAAAAGAAAGAAAGAAAGAGAGAAAGAAAGGGAGAAAGAAAGAGAGAAGGAAAGAAAGAAAGAGAAGGAAAGAAAGAAAGGAAGCAGAGATGGGGGCATGCTGGGGAGGGGGCTGGGGACGCAGGGGAGGGGCTGGGGACGCAAGCTTTCCTGAGCTCCCACAGTTCTCTGCCCCTCTCCTGTTTCATGGCGCAAGGGCCCCCTGGGGCTTGCGGTGGTTTTGCACCAAGCTGGTATCTTGTTCTTCCCAACAGACGGAGGCCCATTGAGGCTTCTGTGTCCTCCACGGGGACCAGCATTGGCCTAAACCTGCAGACACCATTGCAAAGGGAATTCAGGCAAACCCGCTGGTGAAAAATGATTCCAGCGTGGGGACAGAGGCTGACATTTCTTGCCTGGGTGATTTAATGTTGGGCCTCAATTTTTCACTCCCCCCGTAAGAGTATGACATAGCCACAACCTTGCCAGGGCCTGAGGGAGGGTGGATGGACTTATCCATCCCATAGGTGTTGCTCGTGGCTGGGTGACTTGCTTCTGCCAACGAGATTTTCACAGACACGGCACAAACAGAAGCCTGGAATGTGTGGGCACTGCCAGGCCTGCCCTCTAAGGCTCTTGATTTTCCCCACGAGATGCACGTGCCCCAGGGAACGGCGGCTCTGGCTGTGGGATGAGAGGCGTGTGGAGCAGGCATGGTTCCCATCCTTAGCCTGGAGTCAAGGCCAGACTAGATCAGCCTAAGCCCAGCCACGCCATGGGTGCAGGAGTGAAGAGCAAATGCTAACTGTCCATGGAATTGACTTTCAAAGGGGCATGTCATGTGCCTCATCCCAGCAACAGGGAAGGCATTTCTCTATCAGTCAGTTTGTAAATGATTATTGACAAACAATGTGCTGGGAAGGTGGAGTGATTTGAGTAGATTTGGCCTCTATTCTCATGGAGCTTCCTTTCTAGAGGGGAAGGCAGATGATGGATGGATAAATATAAATGATTCTAACAGGTTGGTGCAGCAGTCATTAAAAGTAATGACAAAAAAACACAAAAGAAACGGGGAGGAGCCGGTGCTGCAGTTCATGAATAGTAATGGCAAAACCCGCGATGACTTGTGCCCCAACCTAACCCAGTAACCACGGGTGTGCAAATGTGGCGATGGGCAAGTTCCGAGTGCTAGGAGAGCATCTAGCTTCCCGGAGTCAGGAGACGGGGGTTGGCAACCTAACCAAGGTTAAGTCCAAGTGAGGGGGGTGGGCAGGGAGCGATATTTCAGTGGAGACTCCAAGGATGAATGGTATTTAGAGAGTAAACCCCGATAGAGAGGGTGTGTGTCTGGCACAGAGAAGAGCCTGTGCAAAAGCTGGTGGGGCGAGAGGACACCGTGTGTTCATCCACCTGAGGGGCGACCAGCAGGCTGGAGCTCAGCGGGTTGAGAGGAGGATGCAGAGCCCGGGAAAGGCACCCTAGGCAGAGGGTACAGAAGTGCAAAGGCCTGGAGTCAGGCCTGAGCCTGTGTGGTTTGAGGAACGGACAGAGGCCTGTCCGTCAGGAAGGGAACGGCACAGGGGAGAGACCTTAGGCCAGAGCAGAGGGCAGGGCAGAGGGCAGGGCCGTGCTGGGCACTGTGGGCTGTGGATGGTGCTGGCATTTAAGAGGGGAGACCATAGGCCAGGGCAGAGGGCAGGGCCGTGCTGGGCACTTTGGGCTGTGGATGGGAGCTGGCATTTAAGAGGGGAGAACATAGGCCAGGGCAGAGGGGTGGAGAGGGCCGGGCCGGGCACCAGAGAGGAGACCATAGGCGAGGGCAGAGGGCAGGGCCGTGCTGGGCACTTTGGGCTGTGGATGGGAGCTGGCATTTATGCTCGGGTGATGGGAATATGTTAAAAGATTTTAAGGAGGGGAGTAACATTTGGGATTAATGTGTATTCTGGGAATCTCAACATGGTAAATTCAGTTTGAATTTTCATAAGACTTCTGCACAGGCAGAGAGAAATAAGATCGTATCTACAGCTGTGTGATCATACTTTAAAAATTACTAAGTTTTTAAACGTGTTTTCAAATGGTGTGTTTCTATCTCACATTGGACATAAGTAGATTGCAAGATTAATGGAAAGTAGAATAGTTAACTGACTTGCCTGAACATAAAAGAGACATAGACTTGAAAACAAAACATTTATTCATTTACTTTCGCTGCAGATTTCTTGACTGCTGAATTTCACAAGAAGGGATTGTTCAGGGAGGGACGTGGGGCTGAAGACCTGGAGAGGAGGTGGTGCTACCGCTGTTCAAATCCGAGGGTGGTGGAGTTGGAGCCTTGGGGAGGAGCAGGTGCTGCCTTTTAAGTCTATGAGAGTCGTTGAGCTGGACGTCCAGGGAGGAGCCGGTGCTGCCACTGATGTCTTAGGTTGTGGAGCTGAAGACAATGAAGGAGCCAGTGTGGCTGTTCTTCTGTGAGGGTCGTGGAGCTGGAGATCCAGGTGGGACAGGTGTTCTAGCTCGGGGAGCAGCTGATGCTCTACCTTCAGGGCCCTGCAGCTGCAGACCCGGAGAGGAGCTGATGTTCTAGTTTGAGGGTCTTGCAGCTGCAGATCCGGAGAGGAGCTGATGTTCTAGATTGAGGGTCATGCAGCTGAAGACTCGGGGAGGAGCTGATGTTGTAGTTTGAGGGTCGTGCAGTTGAGGACTCGGGGTGGAGCTGATGTTGTTCGCGTTGAGGGTCTTTCACTGGAGACTTGGAGGAGCTGATAATCTTGAATGAGGGTCATGGAGCTGGAGACCCGGACAGGAGCTGATGTTCTAGTTAGTGGATCTTCCAGCTGCAGACCCAGGGAGGAGCTGATGTTCTAGTTTTAGGTTCTTGCAGCTGCAGACCCGGAGAGGAGCTGATGTTCTAGATTGAGGGTCATGCAGCTGAAGACTCGGGGAGGAGCTGATGTTGTAGTTTGAGGGTCGCGCTGTTGAGGACTCGGGGAGGAGCTGATGTTCACGTTGAGGGTCTTTCAGCTGGAGACTCAGGGAGGAGCTCATGTTCTAGTTTTAGATTGTTGCAGCTGAAGACTCAGGGAGGAGCTGATGTTCTAGATTGAGGGTCGTGCAGCTGAAGACTCAGGGAGGAGCTGATGTTGTTCGCATTGAGGGTCTTTCAGGTGGAGACTCAGGGAGGAGCTGATAATCTTGACTGAGGGTCATGGAGCTGGAGTCCCGGACAGGAGCTGATATTCTAGTTAGTGGATCTTCCAGTTGCAGACCCAGGGAGGAGATGATGTTCTACTTTTATGTTCTTGCAGCTGCAGACCTGGAGAGGAGCTGATGTTCTAGATTGAGGGTCATGTAGCTGAAGACTCGGCGAGGAGCTGATGTTGTAGTTTTAGGGTCATGCAGTGGAGGACTCGGGGAGGAGCTGATGTTGTTCTCATTGAGGGTCTTTCAGGTGGAGACTCGGGGAGGAGCTGATGTTCTACTCTTAGGTTCTTGCAGCTGCAGACGCGGAGAGGAGCTGATGTTCTAGATTGAGGGTCGTGCAGCTGAACTCGGGGAGGAGCTGAAGTTGTAGTTTGAGGGTCGCGCTGTTGAAGACTCGGGGAGGAGCTAATGTTGTTTGCGTTGAGAGTCTTTCAGCTGGAGACTCAGGGAGGAGCTGATAATCTTGACTGTGGGTCATGGAGCTGGAGACCCGGACAGGAGCTAATGTGCTAGTTAGTGGATCTTCTAGCTGCAGACACGGAGAGGAGCTGATGTTCTAGATTGAGGGTCGTGCAGCTGAAGACTCGGCGAGGAGCTCATATTGTAGTTTGAGGGTCATGCAGTTGAGGACTCAGGGAGGAGCTGATGTTGTTCTCGTTGAGGGTCTTTCAGGTGGAGATTCAGGGAGGAGCTGATAATCTTGATTGAGGGTCATGGAGCTGGAGACCCGGACAGGAGCTGATGTTCTAGTTAGTGGATCTTCCAGCTGCAGACCCAGGGAGTAGGTGATGTTCTACTTTTAGGTTCTTGCAGCTGCAGACCTGGAGAGGAGCTGATGTTCTAGATTGAGGGTCGTGCAGCTGAAGACTCGGGGAGGAGCTGATGGTCTAGTTTGAGGGTCGCACTGTTGAGGACTTGGGGAGGAGCTAATGTTGTTTGCATTGAGAGCCTTTCAGCTAGAGACTCAGGGAGGAGCTGATAATCTTGATTGAGGGTCATGGAGCTGGAGACCTGGACAGGAGCTAATGTTCTAGTTAGTGGATCTTCTAGCTGCAGACGCGGAGAGGAGCTGATGTTCTAGATTGAGGGTCGTGCAGCTGAAGACTCGGGGAGGAGCTGATGTTCTAGATTGAGGGTCCTGCAGCTGAAGACTCGGGGAGGAGCTGGTGTTGTAGTTTGAGGGTGGTGCAGTTGAGGACTCGGGGAGGAGCTGATGTTGTTCACATTGAGGGTCTTTCAGCTGGTGATTCAGGGAGGAGCTGATAATCTTGATTGAGGGTCATGGAGCTGGAGACCCAGACAGGAGTTGATGTTCTAGTTAGTGGATCTTCCAGCTGCAGACCCAGGGAGGAGCTGATGTTCTAGTTTGAGGGTCGTGCAGCTGAAGACCTGGGGTGGAGCTGATGTTCTAGATTGAGGGTCGTGCAGCTGCAGACCTGGGGAGGAGCTGATGTTCTAGTTTGAGGGTCTTGCAGCTGCAGACTTGGGGAGGAGATGATGTTTTTCGCGTTGAGGGTCTTTCAGTTGGAGACTCAGGGAGGAGCTGATGTTCTAGATTTAGAGTCACGGAACTGGAGACCTGGAGAGAAGATGATGTTCTAGTTTCAGGGTCTTGCAGCTGCAGATCCAGAGAGGAGCTGATGTTCTAGATTGAGGGTCATGCTGCTGAAGACTCGGGCAGGAGCTGATGTTCTAGTTTGAGGGTCTTGCAGCTGCAGACCTGGAGAGGAGCTGATGTTCTAGTTTGAAGGTCTTGCAGCTGCAGACCTGGAGAGGAGCTGATGTTCTAGATTGAGGGTCATGCAGGTGAAGACTCAGGGAGGAGCTGATGTTCTAGTTTGAGGGTCTTGCAGCTGCAGACCTGGAGAGGAGCTGATGTTCCAGTTTGAGGGTCTTGCAGCTGCAGACCTGGAGAGGAGCTGATGTTGTAGTTTGAGGGTCTTGCAGCTGCAAACCTGCAGAGGAGCTGATGTTCTAGATTGAGGGTCATGCAGGTGAAGACTCAGGGAGAAGCTGATGTTCTAGTTTGAGGGTCTTCTGCAAACCTGGAGAGGAGCTGATGTTCTAGATTGAGGGTCGTGCAGCTGAAGACTCGGGAGGAGCTGAGGTTCTAGATTAAGGGTCGTGCAGCTGAAGACTCGGGGAGGAGCTGAGGTTCTAGTTTGAGAGTCATGCAGCTGAAGACTCGGGAGGAGCTGATGTTCTAGATTGAGGGCCCTACAGCTGCAGACCCAGAGAGTATCTGATGTTCGAGATTGAGGGTCATGCAGCTGAAGACTCCGGGAGGAGCTGAGTTGGTAATTTGAGGGTCTTGCAGCTGCCGACTCGGGGAGGAGCTGATGTTCTAGTTTGAGGGCCCTACAGTTGGAAATCTGTACAGGAGCTGATGTTCTAGTTTGAGGGTCGTGCAGCTGAAGACTCGGGGAGGAGCTGATATTCTAGTTTGAGGGCTCTGCAGCTGGAGGTGCAGACAGGAGCTGATGTTGTAGTTTGAGGGTCGTACAGCTGAAGATTCAGGGAGGAGCTGCTCATGTATTTTTAGGGTCATGGAGCTGCAGACCTGGAGAGGAGCTGATGTTAAAGATTGAGGGTCATGCAGCTGAAGACTCTGGGAGGAGCTGACGTTCTAATTTGAGGTCCCTACAGGTGGACACCCAGAGAGGAGCTTATGTTCTAGATTGAGGGTCATGCAGCAGAAGACTCGGGGAAGAGCTGAGGTTGTAGTTTGAGGGTCGTGCAGCTGGAGAACCAGACAGGAGCTGATGTTGTAGATTGAGTGTCGTGCAGCTGAAGACTCGGGGAGGAACTGATGTTGTTCGCTTTGAGGGTCTTTCAGTTGGAGACTCAGGAAGGAGCTGATGTTCTAGATTTAGGGTCATGGAACTGGAGACCTGGAGGGAAGCTGATGTTGTAGTTTGAGGGTCTTGCAGCTGCAGAACTGGAGAGAAGCTGATGTAGTTTCAGGGTCTTGCAGCTGCAGACCCAGAGAAGAACTGATGTTCTAGATTGAGGGTCACGCAGCTGAAGACTTGGGGAGAAGCTGATGTTCTAACTTGAGGGTCGTGCAGCTGAGGACTCGGGGAGGAGCTGATGTTGACGGCTGTGCAGCTGGAGATCCGGCGGGGAGCTGATGTTCCGGTTTGAGGGCCGGGGAGCTGATGTTCCAGTTTGATGGCCATGCAGCTGGAGACTCTGATGGGAGCTGATGTTGCAATTTGAGGGCCATGCAGCTGGAGACCTCGTGGGGAGGTGATGTCCCAGTTTGAGGGCCATGCAGCTGGTGACCTGGCAGGGAGCTGATGTTCCAGTTTGAGGTCCGTGCTCCTGGAGACCTGGCGGGGAGCTGATGTTCCAGTTTGAGGGCTGTGCATGTGGAGACCTGGGCAGGGAGCTGATGTTCCAGTTTAAGGCCATGCAGCTGTATACCCGGTGGGGAGTTGATGTTCCAGTTTGAGGGCTGTGCATCTGGAGACCCGGTGGGGAGCCAGTGTTGCAGGTTGAGGGCCATGGAGCTGGAGACCCGGGGGGGAGCTGAAGTTCCAGGTTGACGCGGTGTAGCTGGAGACCCAGGGGGGAACCGATGTTGCAGTTTGAGGGCCGTGCAGCTGGAGACCCTGTGGGGAGCTGATGTTCCTGTTTGAGAGCCGTGCAGCTGGAGATCTGGTGGGGAGCTGATGTTCCAGTGTGAGGGCCGTGCAGCTGGAGACCTGGTGGGGAGCTGATGTTCCAGTTTGAGGGCCGTGCAACTGGATACCCGGCAGGGAGCTGATGTTCCAGTTTGAGGGCCGTGGAGCTGGAGACCCGGGTTGGGGGGAGCTGATGTTCCAGGTTGAGGGCTGTGGAGCTGGAGACCCGGGTTCGGGGGAGCTGATGTTCCAGGTTGAGGGCCATGCTGCTGGAGACCCAGCGGGGAGCTGATGTTGCAGTTTGAAGTGGTGCAGCTGGAGACCCAGGGGGGAACTGATGTTGCAGTTTGAAGCGGTGCAGCTGGAGACCCAGCGGGGAACTGATGTTGCAATTTGAGGGCCATGCAGCTGGAGACCCTGTGGGGAGCTGATGTTCCTGTTTGAGGGCCTGGGAGCTGATGTTCCTGTTTGAGGGCCTGGGAGCTGATGTTCCAGTTTAAGTCCATGCAGCTGGAGACCCTGTGGGGAGCCGATGTTCCAGTTTGAGGGCCGTGCATCTGGAGATCTGGTGGGGAGCTGATGTTGCAGGTTGAGGGCCGTGGAGCTGGAGACCTGGTTGGGGAGCTGATGTTCCAGTTTGAGGGCCGTGAAGCTGGAGACCCGGGGGGGAACTGATGTTGCAGTTTGAGGGCCATGCAGCTGGGTACCTGGCTGAGAGCTGATGTTGCAGTTTGAGGGCTGTGCACCTGGAGCCCCGGGGTGGAGCTGATATTCCAGTTTGAGGGCCGTGCAGCTGGAGACCTGACGGGAGCTGATGTTCCAGTTTGCAGGCCGTGCATCTGGAGACCCGGCAGGGAGCTGATGTTCCAGTTTGAGGGCCGTGCATCTGGAGTCCCAGTGGAGAGCTGATGTTGCAGGTTGAGGGCTGTGCACCTGGAGCCCCAGGGTGGAACTGATATTCCAGTTTGAGGGCCATGCACCTGGAGATCTGGTGGGGAGCTGATGCTCCAGTTTGAGGGCCAAGCAGCTGGAGACCCGGCAGGGAGCTCATGTTCCAGTTTGCAGGCAGTGCAGCTGGAGACCCGGCGGGTTGCTGATGTTCCAGTTTGAGGTCCATGCAGCTGGAGATCTGGTGGGGAGCTGATGTTCCAGTTTGAGGGCCCTGCAGCTGGAGACCCATGGGGATCTGATGTTCCAGTTTGAGGGTGGTGCAGCTAGCGACCCAGGCGGGAGCTGATGTTCTAGTTTTAGGGCCCTGCAGCTGGAGACCCGGGGAGGAGCTGACGTTCCCGTTTGAGGGCTGTGCAGGTGGAGACCTGGGGAGGAGCTGATGTTGTTCTAATTTGAGTGTGGTGCAGCTGGAGATCCAGGGATGAGATGGTCTTGCGGTTCAAATATGGGGGTCCCGGAGCTGGAATCTACGTGAGGAACCAATGCTGCCTCTGATGTCTTAGGTTGTGGAGCTGGGAACTCACGGAGGAGCTGGTATTGGTGTTTCTAGTTGAGGGTCGTGGTATTTCCAGGGTTTCACAAAGGCCAGATTTTATTTCAGTTACTCAGAAGAGAAAGAAAATGTCTTCTGAAAGAGGTGAACTCAGTCATTACCAATAGAAAAAGTATCCACTGTATTCATCTCTTATACAAACAGAAAAATATAACATTTTCCCCCTTAGAATAATATATATATATATACACAACTTAAGGTTCCATTGTATGTAGCCGAACAATACAATCTGGAAACCAGCATGAAACCCTATTATTCACATGTTAAAATGTTGAAACTATGACCAAAATATGAAAACTGCTAGAGCTATCAGAAAGACACAAGACAAAAAGCTTCTTGCATATGTATAAACTAAATGTGATAATCTCAAAAAACTGTTCAAAATTATAATTACTTTCCAGTTTAAAAACTTTAATCCTAAATTTTTAAAAAAAATCTATATACAAACCACTGATTTGCCCAGACCAAAAAAAGAAAGAAAGAAAGAAAGAAAGAAAGAAATCAGTGGTAACGTAAGCAGGACCCAGAGGAGCTGATATTCACAGTTCTTACATGGACAACTCTTTCAGGAATTATCCATAAAGTACTTTATTTTACAACCTGCTTTTCTTGTAAAACTAAAGGTGCGCGTTTTAACATAAAAGTTTTATACGGTGTTAAAACCAGAACTGTGTGTAAAATACTGCATGTAAATGTTTCTAAATAGTCTTGTTCCATTGGTTCATCGGTGACTTCTGTGGCTTCGTCATCATTTTCCATGGATGATTCTGAAAGAATCTCTCCAGTTTTACTGGAATTGGATCCTACTAATTCTTCTGTTTCACGGCAGTCAGAAGAACCACTACTTTCAGGGCCTTCGTTTTCACTACCTTCAGAATGTAGTAAATCTTTCTCAGCTTGAGACACATCAGATTCCTCCATTTCATTATTTTCCTCAGAAGTCTCTTCATTCACAGTTGAGGCATCATCAGATTCTTTTTCTTGTTTATTTCTTTCTGGGATCATTTCTCTTGATGTCATAAAAGACTCTAAAACTAAGCAAATGTTGTTGTACTTAAATTTTATTTTCAAAATACCTCCACAGTTAAGTTTCATGAATTCTGATGTTCTGTAGTTCAAATCACATCCCCTGAAATTCAGCAGCAACTGCATACAGGTGGGAGAAAAGCCCAGCGTCGGCATTACAAGGAGTTCCATGATGTACAGTTCTTTCACGAAAACAATGAATGCAAGAATTTGAGGATCTCCTTACTCCTCCCTTTTACAGATGGTCTCTCAATCCCTTCTTCTTCCTCTTCATCTTCTTCATCCTCTTCTGAACGCGCTGCCGGGTACCACGGCTTTCTTTGTCTTTATCATGGGATGAAGGTGATGCTTCTGTTTCTTCTACCACAACTGAAGAAATTTCGCTGCAAGTCGCTTGACTGGCTATTTCTCCGACTTCGCCTTTTTGTCAAACCTGAGTCTTTTTACCTCATGCCCCTCAGCTTCCACAGCATCTTCATCTGGATGTTTATTTCTCAAAGGGCTCACTGAGGAAACTTCTGATTCAGATGTCGAAGAGTCACTGTGAGTTTTCTCTTCATTTTGCTGCAAATTTGCCTCTTTGCTGTCTGTGCTATCAGGCCACCCATTTGTTGTCATGGGGGCTGACAGAGAAACCTTTGGTCGATTACGTGGCCTGGGTGTCCCAGGCCCATTTATATTAGACCTCTCAGTATAGCTTGGTGCATTTCCAGGAAACATCACACCATTCATTCGATTTAAACTATTGGAATTGTTTTTCTCTGAAGAAGGATAAACACAGCTAACAACCATCACGTTCTTTTCTACTCCTCTGAGAAATTTGTCTGTTCCTGTATAGTTTCTCCTTGGATCTGTTAACAATTCAATAGTCGCTGAATAGTAAAAGGGATACGGTTAAATCCAGTGACAGTTTTCAGTATTCTTCCCTTTGTTGCATCAAAGGGAATATATTCGACATTAGGGTTGGGAGGACCTCTTGGCACAGGAGCTGAAGTTCTGAAATCATCCATCACTTTCTCCAGTTTGAAAATAAAATAGCCTTTAAATTGGGACCACGGAATCTGTTTCTCCAGTCTTGGCTACATGACAAAGGAGCTGATCCAGGACAGGACAGACTTTCTTTTTCGCCTCTTCTCAAAATCTTCCAGTGCCTCCTGGAGCCTGTCGACGTCCATGGCTTCCCGGAGTCCCTCACAGCCTCCGCCTCCCTCCGCGGGTCTCTTGGGGACCGGAACGCCTCCCCCCACCCCCCGACGTCCTCCCACTCCCTCGCACACCCTCCAGCACGCAGGCCAAGTGGGGTGGGGGGGAACGAAGGGAGCCAGGGGAAGCGTGTGAGAGAGTGAGACCGACAGAGTGAGCACCTCCCCAAGCCGCTACCACCAGCCCTCCAACATGGCGCCTGGCACGTCACCCTAAAAAGTCATTTCTTGGAGAAGCGATGGATGACAGAGATTAATCTGAGAGTTACTATTAATGGAGAAACTTAGAACTTACCATTTTTCCTGTGAGGTTTCGGTGCTGATACTTCTATTCTGTGAGTTCTGGCAATTGTGTCCGTTCACCCAGCCTGGTGATGCAGCAGGTGTCACAGAAGGACCCTGTCCCAGCTGGTCCTGCTCCACTGCTAGGATGGTGTGGCCTCTGATCTGTGACCGTGTCTTGAGGGGAGACCAGGCCCTTGATCACAAGCGTATCCATGGTGAGGTTCCGTGGATGGAAGCTCATGGATGTTCCTTCCTGATGTTCATCTGCCACCTTGCTATTGAATGCATCCTGTTTATAACTGTCTTCTAAATATTGAATAGAAATAAAGCATTTGTACAGTATGGGTAAGGTATAAAGAATATTGACACATTGGACACAGAGGACCTCCACCAAGTTTAGGGAGGAGAATCTGAAGAGACATAGCTTTGGATGCTCCCTGGAGGCCCTGCCTGAGTCCCAGTCCCTTCCCTTCTCCTACGGAGGGAATCACTTCTTGCCTTAGTCTTTATTATTTGCACACTTTCCTTCATAGTACATTTCTTTCACCGTGTGTGTACATCCCTAAAAAATAAGCCATTTAGTTTTTGAACTTTCTGTTTTCTTTTTGAGGCAGGGTCTTGCTCTGTTGCCTCGGCTGTAGTTTTGAACTTTGACGTGAGGGAATTCTCCTGCGTGGCTGCTCCTGCACTGCATGGCTCTGAGCACCTGCTCTGTGTCTATTTTTGTCCTCCATTCTCTCCCTGAGACCCACCCACACTGACATGGCTCATTTTCATTGCTGCATGGTCTCCCGTCGTCTGAGGGGAGCATGGGAAATGTCTTCATCTTCCCGTGGATGAGGGTTTGGCCAGGTTGGGGCCCTTAGGACTGTGTTTTGTTGGGAACGTTCTTGGGCGTTTCTTTTGTACACAAGTGCAAGTTTCTTCTGGTCAGTAGCTTTCAAGTTTTAAAATTTCATCCCAGGTAAGAAATGTAATTTTCCTCATAACCCACAACACACACTCTTTCATATACAAGCATAGCAGAAATATACTTCACAAGCGTTCTTAGCAGTGCCTGGTGTTCCTGCTTCTCTCCATTCTCCCCAACACCTGCATGGATTGGGTGGTGGGATTTTTGCCCGTCTGGTGGGTGTCACATGATATCTCCCCCTGTTAGGCTGAGCCCCTCTTCATGTTTTCATTAGCCATTCCTCCACATTTCCTCTTCTGTGGAGGGCCGGTTCAGCTCTTTTGCCCAGTTTCTGTTAAGTTGTTTGAATTTTTGCACTTTTCCTTTATTATTCCTATTACTATGTTTTTGAGACAGAATATCACTCTGCCACCCAGGCTGGAGTGCAGTGGCGCGATCTCAGCTCACTGCAACCTCCATCTTCTGGGTTCAAATGATTCTCCTGCCTCAGCCTCCCAAGTGGCTGGGATTACAGGCACGCACCACCACGCCCAGCTAATTTTTATATGTTTACTACAGATGGGGTTTCACCATGTTGTCCAGGCTGGTCTGAAACTTCTGACCTCAGGTGATTCTCCCACCTCAGCCTCCCAAAGTGCTGGGATTATGTGGGTGGCAAGCCACCCAGGCACCGAGGCAAGAGACAGAGGACACGAGCTGTTCCAGTATAATAAAATATAAAACAAGAATAGTTATACCAGATATAGATCTTAGATATGATTATATATGAATATCATTAATCATTAGTTTGTAGCAATTACTTTTTATTCCAATATTATGATAATCCTTGCTCTATAATCGTAGCCTAGGAAAAACCAGGCCATACAGAGATAGGAGCTGAGGGGACATAGTGAGGTGTGACCAGAAGACAAGAGTGCGAACCTTCTGTTATGCCCGGACCGGGCCACCAGAGGGCTCCTTGGTCTAGCGGTGATGCCAGCGTCTGTGAAGACGCCCGTTACCAGGTGGATCGTGGTCCAGCGGTAGCAAAAGGTGTCAAGGAACAACACCCGATACTTAGCAGACCGGGAAAGAAGGGGGGGGCGGTCTCCCTTTCCCCAGGGGAGTTTAGAGAAGACTCTGCTCCTCCTCCTCTTGTGGAGGGCCTGACATCAGGCAGGCTCGCCTGCAGTTATCCGGAGGCCTAACCGTCTCCCTGTGATGCTGTGCTTCAGTGGTCACGCTCCTAGTCCGCCTTCATGTTTCATCCTGTACACCTGGCTCTGCCTTCTAGATAGCAGTAGTAAATTAGTAAAAATACTAATAGTCCCTGATATGCGGAAATAATGGCATAAGCTGTCTTTCTCTCTGTCTCCTCTCCCTCTCTGCCTCGGCTGCCAGGCAGGGAAGGGCCCCCTGTCCAGTGGACACGTGACCCACGTGACCTTACCTATCATTGGAGGTGACTCACATTCTTTACCCTGCCCCTTCTGCCTTGTATCCAATAAATAACAGCGCAGCCAGACATTCGGGGCACTACTGTTCTCCGTGCATTGGTGGTAGTGGTCCCCCGGGCCCAGCTGCCCTTTCTCTTATCTCTTTGTCTTGTGTCTTTATTTCTACACTCTCTCATCGCCGCACACAGGGAGAGACCCACCGACCCTGTGGGGCTGGTCCCTGCAGGGTTATAGGCATGAGCCACCATGCCCGGCCTGCTTTTTTCTTTTTCAAAAGGACTCTTTCTAGATTATACCTATTCATTCCGGTGACTATATATGGGGCAAAGATGGGTTTGAATCCACCAGGATAAACGTGCCGGATCTCCTCTCTGATGGAAGAAGAGACAGGGATAGAAGGGTACAGAGAATCAGAGCCAAGAGGAGGCCGAGTCAGGCGGGGGTTGCAGGCTGCTGTGAGGACTTGGCTGCTTCTCTGAGTCTGGTGGGATTAGCAGGGGATTTAAACAGAGGAACCGTGGGATCTCCCTTATGCATTTCTGCCATGGTTGGCTCAGCTGAACACACCTCTTGAGCAAGACTTGGTCTTGGACACCCAGAGGCCCTTGGTTGAGGGTTTACCTCCTGGTGTGGCCACTGACACATCCACGTTTGGCTCCCACACGGCTGGGCAGCCCCGAGACCTGCTGTGCCTGCACTTCTCATTGGTGGCATTTCTCAAGTTTGTCCCCTCTCAAGTCTGCCCCATCCGGAATACCAAACACCTCTCTCTCCTACATGGAAACCCCCGTCAGCACCTCCTCCTGACTCACAGGGCATCCCGTCAACATCACAGTCCCAACCTTCCCACATGGAGAAGCTCATGGGACCCCCGATGGACCAGGACAGTGCCAGCACTAAGACGTGCCCTGGAACTCACAGGAAGAGCGGACCAAGAAGCCAGGAACAGCACGGGGCACTGGGAGCTGCAAACGCCCACGATACTGTGAGAGACGGAGAAAGGTATGACAGGAGGAGCAGACCAAGAAGACGGGAACAGCACGGCGCACTGGGAGCTGCAAATGCCCACGATACCGTGAGAGATGGAGAAAGGTATGGCCATGGCGGTCACAAAATGTTACACAACATTTATTAAAGGCCTAAATGGAGAACCTAACGCTATCAAACCCTTAGGTAAAAACACAGGGGAAAATTCGTATGGCCTGGGGTTAGGCGAAAAGTTCTTAGACATGACACCAAAAGCATGATTCATAAGATTGACAAATTAAATGTAGTCATAAATTTAAAATTATAATTCTATAAAGCAATATAAAAATCCAAAGAGAATGAAACACAAACTATGGTCTAGAAATAAACATTTGTGAATCACACGTCTCACAACCTACTGGCACGCAGGATATATGAAGAACCATCAAAACTTAACCATAAGAAAGTAAAAACCCCAGTATTAAAGAGAGGGCCAATATTGGAATGGAGGCCTCATGAAAGAAGGTATAAGGAGGGCATATTGCCCGAGAAAGAGGCTCAACATCATAGAGATGCTGGAGAAATGCCAGTCAGCAGTACCTCTGCAAATCCATTAAAATGGCTAAAAACAGACAAAACCCATGGGCCAACCCAGGTTCTAGTGATGATGCAGAGGAACTGGGACCCTCATAAGCTGCAGTGGGAATGGGAGGGGTCCCGCCATGCTGGAAAGTGGTCCGGGAGTTTCTTAAGAAGTTAAGCACATCCTTACCATGTCATCCAGCAACCCCACTGCTGAAATGTCCCCCAAGGGAAAACTTAAACGTGCACACACAAACCTGCACACAAGTGTTTAGGCCTCATTCCTCATTGCCAATAACTGGAAGAAAACAAAATGTCCATCGGCAGGAGCAGGAGAAGGCGTGAACCAACGCGGATGCTTCCACATAGGGGACACCAACCAGCAGTGGAAAGATGCACCCAAATGCCCCAGGTCTCCCAGGCTACATGCCCGGTGAAGGAAGCTAGTTTCGGTGGCCACAGGCCGAAGGATGCCAACACATGACATCTTGGAGAAGACAGTGTACCGTGTCGGGGAGCAGGGCAGTGGTTTCGAGGGGCTACGGGTGGAGGGGCGAATGGAGGAGCTCTCTGGGGCGATGGCGTGAGCACCTGCACCTCACTGTGGGCTGCTGCGGCTGAGGGGCTGTACGGCAAACAGTGGCTTCAGTACATGCAGACTGAAGGAGGAAGGCTCCCACAACTCAGAGACAGAGGGTGTCGCCTCCATGAAACAAAAACATATTTAAAAAAAAAACCTCTTAAAATTAAGAAAAAAACCACAAAAAGTATTTCATAAGCGCATTGACTTTGAGTTGACATAATCTACCTGGGAGCATGGAACTGAAACCACAGGCTTGGCAATCCCGGAGGGAGAGGGTGGAGGGTTTAGACCTCAATTGAAGGGCTCAGTACCTGGCTATAGGAAATAACATTTAAAAAGCAGCAGGTGGAAATAATTTCTGCTGATGAGGTTGCATCTCTCCAGATAGCCGGCAGAGTAAATTAAAGCAATATAGTCTTGCTCTGTTGCCCAGGCTGGAGTGAAGTGGCGCCATCTCCGCTCACTGTAAGCTCCGCGGGAGAATCTCTTGAACCCTGGAGGCAGACGTTGCGGTGAGCCGAGATCCCGCCATTCCACTCCAGCCTGGGCAACAAGAGCGAAACTCCGTCTCAAACCAAACAAAATTAGGTAACTAACCCAGGACTAAAACAGCATAACTTTAAAAAAATAAGTCTAGGAGGTATGATGTTCATTCCCTGCAAGCCAATAAAGGCCACGTCTGGGGCATACATCTAAAAAAAATAATCCTAAAGAGAAAGTTATGGTCACAAATATGTTCTGTACGGTGTTATTAAGAGCAAAAATAGGAAACAACCCAAATATCAATAAAATGGGACCGAACCCTTGCAAATTTACTAAAATAACTCAAAATTGTTAAACATGATGCACAAGACGAAGATTTTAATAAAGTGAAAAGGCAGGAAACATAATTACTAATGATTATTGGTTTATTTTTCATGCCACTTCATTCCACAAAAAGATTTCAGGTATCTTACAAAAAGACACACTAGAAATATTAAAATACTATCTGAACCAGAAGCAGAATCAGGGTAAGCTAGCAGAAAGGCGTATGAGCCAAAGGGATCTACCCAGCTTTCAAAGCTGACCACGGCCGTGCGCAGTGGCTCTGTCTGTAATCCCCGCACTTCGGGAGACCGAGGAGGGAGGATCGCTTGAGGCCACAAGTTCGAGACCAGCCTGGGCAACAGAGCAAGATTCCCGCCTCTACCAAAAATTTAAAAATCAGCCGGAAGCCAGAGGCTAGGGACATGGCTGAGGATCGCTCCCGCCCCTCGGAGGCCAGAAACCGAGGGTCACTCCCGCTCCCTAGAGGCCGGAGGCCCCGGGCCGCTCCCGCCCACCTCCGCGGACGAGCGCCGCCCCTTCGACCCCATTCCCTGAGGTCTGGACGTTCAGGCCCTCTCGGTCTGGGAGATCCCGGAGAACCACCCACGGGGCTTTAAAAAAAGTTGGTGCCCAACATCTCCCCGAAATAGGGCCCGCCCTATCTCGGTCGGGGAGCGCGGGACCTCCGTGGCCACCCAGCGCCACGGTCCGCGGGTCCGCTTTGCGCAGGCGCGGCGTCCCCGCCCATTAGACCCCGGCCCGGGCGTCGCGTGGTGCGCAGGCGCAATGTCCCCCACTAGCGCCCCGCCTTGACCCGGCCGTGGTGCGCAGGCGCAGTCTGCGCAGGGACTGGCGGGACTGCGCGGCGGCGACTACAGACGTGTCGGGGGTCCGGGGCCTGTCGCGGTTGCCAAGCGCTCGGCGCCTGGCGCTGGCGCTGGCCAAGGCGGTGAGTCCCTGCCGCGGACCGGGGCAGGGCAGGCGGGGGGCGAGGCGGCGGTAGGAGCGGGACGGTCCCCAGCGGGTCCGAGCGGAGCGGGCGCCGGGTCCCCGCGCCCCCTGCCCGGGGATCGGGAAGGGGCTGGGAGAGCCCTGGGCCGGTGCGAGGGGGAGCCGCGGAGTGTACTCGGGGGCCTGGGGAGCTCGGTCCTTAGCAGGTAGGCCGCGTCCCGGTGAAGGTCGCGACCCCGCGGGCTTGCTGGGCGTCCCCTCCGCCGCTTTGGTCCGGGCCTGGGGTCCGGCGACCTCGCGGGCTGAGGTAGCCCCTCGCCTCTGCCTGGCGGGTGGACTCGGGGAGGAGTCGTGTCTGCCCAGGGTCACCGGGGTGGAGTCCTGGCTGGGCCGGGCCTCTGCCGCCGTCTGTGAGGGTTGTCCTGCGGGGCCGCCCGCAGCCCGTGGGTGGGGCCGGCGGGGCGGGTGAAACCGCCCGGGTGGGTGCGAGGAGTGGCCGGGCTCGGCCGGGTGGGTGTCCGGTGGGAAGCGCGGCGCGCCCGAGCTTGGGCTTGCAGTTCCCCTTTCCAGAGAGCGCAAATCTGTGCATGTCCACTTCGGGATCTTGGAAGTTAAGGACCTGTACTTTGGGTCCCGTTTGGTGGCCCTTGTGCCACAAAAATGTGCCGGTGTTTAAAAGCAGCTGTGCCAGTTTTTAAAAATCAGACGGAGAGCTCAGGGCACTGACCGAGCGAGGACTCCAGGACCTGTGCTTGCCTGTGCGCTGAGTACCTCGAGGGCCGGGCTCGGCTTAGTCCAGGATGATGGTCAGGGTTATACTTCCCTGAGCCCTTGCTCTCTGAGTGTCTGAGTGTGCCCTCTACGATTGCATCTTCAGAATCGGCCTTCTAGGATTTTATTTAATCAAGCGAAATTGGATAGGTTTAGTTGTTTGGTTCTTTTAAATGAACTTAGCCACCCACCTCTTAATTACAAAGTAATTTTAAATTGCAGAGTAAAAATCTCAATAGGAACCAAGGCATTCAGCAATAGTGATTTGAATTATGCCTGTGATTGTGCAATTTTCTCCTTTTTGAAATAGTTATTGAAAATCTCTTTGAATTAAATGTGAGGATTAGTCATACAGCCATCCTGTCAACATCGGAAAGCGTGTAAACCGTTCTAGCGTGTTGCTGTGGTTGGTGCTGACCAAGCAGAGACCCCCGCCGCATCTTGGGCTCTTAGGAGCTGCTGGGAGGGCGTCCACAAGCAGGAGGTGAAGCCCATGGTCAGTGGGACTTTTTAGGGGCACTGGTAGCTTGTGGTTGGAGAGAAGCTAGATAGAGCCAGTGCCTTTGTCCCCAACCCAGATGGTGCCCAGTGTTCCTTCTGCAGACTAAGGCCCCAGGCACCTCAGACCAGATGGCAAGATAGCAAAATGGAACCAAAATTTAGTCTTGGGTTTTGTAAAAGTCTTTTTATCTTGATGAAGGTAGCTTTTCCTACAGAAAGTCGTGCGTTTTTGGGTTCTTCGTTGGCTGCTTTTGTGATTGTGTAGGTTGTACATGCAGATTCGTTTCTTGCTCATGATTTATAGGTGCATTTTATTCGATGAGGACCCCTTACTTTGCTAGATTTCGGATATGAATGTCTCTGCACTTGTTACTTTTCCCCCTCCACCTCCTGATTCAGTCATCTGAAATTCTGTATTGTTAAGCAAGGTCTAAGTATTCCTTTTAGTTATATGTTCCCCATTTTTTTTCTTAGAGGAAATGTTTGATAGTTTCTCCTAAAAAATTAATAATTGGCACAAAAGACTAGTTTTGTGTCAAAAGTAGTTTTGAGTTTTATCTAAAGACTGACATTGACTTGAAGTTGGGCTTTCCAGATTCAAATATCTGCCCCAGATGAGATTTAGATGCAGAGGGTTAGTGTCCTTTTCCCCAGGGGGATGGCGTGATGATTTGTTCAAGATTGTGTTATAGTAGCTGCCCCTTTTAAGCCAGCTGTGTGTGTGTGGTGGGGGGTGGGCAGTGTGTATTCCACATCAACATCCTAGAAAGAACGAATAAACATTTAGTGATCTCACTGTTTCTACTTACATTTGGTATAATGTACTGTTTTTATTGGTGCTATTACCTATGTTAATGGGGCACTTTACAAAATTTTCAAGAACGTTTTTATTAAAATTATTTCAAAGACTTCTTTCTTAAAATATGATTTTACCATGTAAAAAATTATACTAAGGTAGAAGAATATTCGTTCTTTCTCATTTTCTGAAAAAAGAAAAAACTAAATTAGCTTATGTCAATAAAAACAGACTAGAAATTGGAGAAATGAAGAATAATTTTTTATCCCACATAATAAGTAATTTGTGAATTGCAAGTATTTCTAAATACTTGAAGACATCCCTCACATCCCCTCTTCTGATTGCTGAGTGCATAATTTCCTAAAGCTTTTTTTTTTCTTTTGTTTTTTGGAGACATTGTCTCGCTCTGTCGCCCAGGCCGGAGTACAGTGGCACAGTCTCGGCTCACTGCAACCTCTGCCTCCTGGGTTCAAGCGATTCTCCTGCCTCAGCTTCCCAAGTAGCTGGGATTACAGGTGCCCGCCACCACGACCAGCTAATTTTTAGTAGAGAGGGGGTTTTGCCATGTTGGCCAGACTGGTCTCGAACTCCTGACTTCAGGTGATCTGCCCACCTTGGCCTCCCAAAATGCTGGGATTACAGGCATGAGCCACCGCGCCCAGCCCCTAAAACTATTCTTGATGATATTTCTGAGACTATTCAGTGGTCTTCTAAAATGCCGCCAGCAGAATGGAAAACGTATCCCCTAAATGGCTGGCCAACCTTAGCATATGGGACAGTGTGACCTCTCTCACACAGAGCCACTAAAAACTAAACACTAAAACCAGTTTTCTTGAGTAAAGGTTTCTAAGATGGAAAATTTAAGCAGCGAGATATGTCAAGTTGTAGACGTTGGCCAGGAAAAAGCCAGCAGCAACCAGGCAGGGGAGAGTGTGCATCCGACATCCTCCTGTGTGATGAAGGGATGACACCTCTTCCCTCTGGGCTGTCAGCCTTTACTGTTGCAGGATACAGATCTCCTGATTCAGGTGTCCAGTGCCTTTTGAACTGACCGCAAGCCCTCCTGGACGATTGGAACTGTAATGTGGAAAGGGCTCTGATGGAGCCGGTTAAAATGCTTCATTATTTGCAAAATACCACATACAGTAATACGATCTGGATGTCTTTCCCCTCCTCCACTAAGTAGCATAAGTGAAGACTTCCCAGAGGAAGTGCGTCTTTTTCATCT
Source organism: Homo sapiens (assembly GCF_000001405.40). Lineage (NCBI taxonomy): Eukaryota > Metazoa > Chordata > Mammalia > Primates > Hominidae > Homo > Homo sapiens. The sequence goes on along the minus strand of NC_000003.12, from coordinate 195,986,891 downwards.
CGTATCTGAGTCAGTGAGTATCCTTTTTGGAAACAAGCTTCATCCTGGTTTTCTAGAGTGCCAAGCCAGGGTGGAAAGGAGGACCTGGGGGCTCAGTCCTTCCTTGCCCCTTGGGCTGCCCTTCAGGGTTAAGTAGAGGGTCCCAGCTGAGCTCTCTGGATGCACAGGAGCACCTGGGTACATAAGAAGGTGAACAGTTTGCAAGGGGAAGTTTGAATTACTATCCCCCACAGCATTTGTTCCTTCAGGACACTAACCCTCTGGATCTGTGTCTTCTGTGTCTCCAGTGGCCAACAGTGTTGCAAACAGGAACCCGAGGTGTTCACTTCACTGTTGAAGGAACGAGAGGGCATCTGCTAAAGTTTCAGATTCCGTAAGTTCATGCTTTTTGTTCCATTATAAATGATTTTTTTGGCTTGGGGGTAAGGATCTATACCAGTTTGTTTTCATATGAGTCATAGACATAAGGGAAAAATTTCTCATAGGTATCCAATGCATGCTGAAATTATTTTCAGTGTAATAATACTTAATTGCAAGTACAAATATAAACATAGATGTTAACATTTTTACTTGTATCTGTTATGTATCTATAAATTAGATTTAAATTTAGGTCAAGTAAAGCAATAAATTAAAATGAACAGTATCTGCTGTGATAGATGATAAAATCCTACTGAAAAGAGGACCGTGGGGCCCTTCCGGTGTGGGTTCCTTGGTATTGAGTGTGCCTGTTCTCTCTCTGTTGGAAAACTGAAACGTGCTGAGAAGTTCTTTTCTCATAAGCTCACAATAGCGACTGAATGCTCCTTGGCACCTTCTCAGGCATAAGCATAGGCACGGCCCTGAAGTAGAGTTGTGGTCCTCAGTCTGATCCCATGGAATAGACCCTCTACCATTCATAGAATCTGATTATCAGTCCCTTCTCCAGGTGCGAATGTGCCTACTTCTCCCCGCACTGTTCAGGGCTCAGCCCCAGGACAGGATGGAGGCCCTGTGTGCCCAGCAGTTGCTCCTTTTATCTTTGTCAAGCTCTTTCACTGGCACAAGAGTCTTCATGTTTGGCATAGTGGAACCTGTGATTGACAGGTGAATTTTTCTTTTCCAGATTTCTGCTCAGTATCCAGTAGTGGATCATGAATTTGATGCAGTGGTGGTAGGCGCTGGAGGGGCCGGCTTTGCGAGCTGCATTTGGCCTTTCCGAGGCAGAGTTTGATACAGCATGTGTTACCAAGCTGTTTCCTACCAGGTCACACACTGTTGCAGCGCAGGTAAGAGAAAGGTGCCCCACTGTGCTCCCACTCCGTGCAGGTCCCGCGCAGCCTCGCACTTTCTACCTGGGCAGCCTCCTGCCTCCTCCCCGTGCTCCAGCCACTTGGCCTCTTGCTGTGCCTTACTCAGCTCACCCATTCAGGGGTCTCTCCCTGGAGCCTCTTCCCTGGGGACTTTGAAGGGCGGGAGCCTTGTTGTCACTCTTAATTCAGACTCCAGTCACACTTGGGTTTTCTCTGACCATCTACCCTCCCCACCCACCCCTGCCACCCCAACACCTTAAGAAAAGGAGATCATCTAAAGAGGAGGATTCAGAATTTAGGTTGGGGAAGAAAAGGGCAAGGGTTTCATTTGTCCCTGTGCTGCTGTCTTCTGGGACTCTCTGAGGGGTAAGACGGTGGTGGGCACACACAGCCAAAGGAAGTAGGGGTACAGGGGAGTGCGACTCTGAGTATGGAGTTTATTACTTGGCAGGAAGCACTTCTGATCTTTAACACATGCCCGTAAATGCCGTTGGGAAGATTTGTTAATAAAATTATGCGGAGAGATTCATGGAGTACCTTTTCTGTGCCAGATACGTTAGGTAATAAGCATATTACAGGTAGCCTTTCACTCACTGCTCCAGTCAGCCCTTCCTGGAGTTCCCTCTGTCTCCACCACACAGATGAGGAGACTGAGGCTAAGGGATGGAATCACTGGGTGAGTCTGGGAGGGGTTGTGATCTGGAATCTGTCAGGCCTGGCTGCTCCTCTGCTGAGGTCAGCCCTCACTGGGAGTCACCGCGTGAGTAGTTGGCTTTCTCTGAATCCCCCAGCGGGTGGATTTGGGCCTGGAAGACAAAGCTGGGGTTCCTGTTTGTGGCTTGTAAGGAGTGGTTGGTGTTTCCAGGTTGGAATCAATGCTGCTCTGGGGAACATGGAGGAGGACAACTGGAGGTGGCATTTCTATGACACCGTGAAGGGCTCCGACTGGCTGGGGGACCAGGATGCCATCCACTACGTGACGGAGCAGGCCCCCACTGCCATGGTCGCGGTGATGGGCGGGAGGCTCTGGGTGCTCTGGTGGTCTGTTTCTAGTACAAGAGTCCTGGAAAAAATGTAAGCAGTTGAGGCAGATGTGGCAGCCGAAAGAATGGTGATTAGCAAAGCTCACAGAGAAGTCTTTGTCCGTCATGAACTATGTATTACATGTAATAAGAAAAACTTCTCTTTGATGAAGTGTTGACATTTTCATAAAATAGGTTAATTTGGGTTTGCAGATTTGTATTAAAGTTGTTTAGTGTAGATTAGCTGTGAATATCTTGACTCCTTTAGGTTAATAAGGCTTTTGTTTGTTTTTATCTTTCACAGGTAGAAAATTATGGCATGCCGTTTAGCAGAACTGAAGATGGGAAGATTTATCAGCGTGCATTTGGCGGACACAGCCTCAAGTTTGGAAAGGGCGGGCAGGCCCATGGGTGCTGCTGTGTGGCTGATCGGACCGGCCACTCAATATTGCACACCTTATACGGGAGGGTAAGGCCGCCCCCCGTCCACCTGAGACAGGACACGTAGTGCTGGGGCTTGTGGTGACAGCGGGGAATGGGTTAGCGTGCCCAGTGAGTCAGCCAGAGATTGCGTAAAAAGCAACAGAGAACAGCGGTGTGGGGCACATGCAGCGACTGTGGATGTGACAGGAGCAGGCGTGTGCCTTGAGAAGCTGCCCCTAAGGCAATGTGTGAGTTGTTGCCTCTATGTTGGGAAGTTGAATTGATAATCTTATATACCAGGTTTTCACTTGGGATATGTGACACTCAGCATGTAAGAACAGAGCAAGCAGGCCAGGCACAGTGGCCCACGTCTGTAATCCCAGCACTTTAGGAGGCCAAGGCAGGAGGATCACTTGAGACCAGTCTGGAGAACATAGCGAGACCCTGTCTCTACAGAAAGTTTAAAAAGTAGCTGAGCATGGTGGTACATGCTTGTAATCCCAGTTACTCAGGAGGCTGAGGCAGGAGGATCACTTGAGACAGTGAGCCATGTTCATACCACTGCACTCCAGCCTGAGCAACAGGAGACCTGTCTCAAAAAAAGACAAAGAAGAAGTATTTTAAGGCTCTTTTACCACCTCTGAGTTCCTGAATGGATTGGTTTGGTTTGTTTGTTTTGTTTTGCTTTGTTTTTGAGACGGAGTCTCACTCTCACCCAGGCTGGAGTGCAGTGGCGCGATCTCTGCTCACTGCAACCTCTGCCTCCCGGGTTCAAGCGATTCTCCTGCCTCAGCCTCCAGAGTAGCTGGGACTACAGGTGCACGCCGCCACGCCTTGCTGATTTTTTGTATTTTAGTAGAGACAGGGTTTCCCATGTTGCCCAGGCTGCTCCCGAACTCCTGAGCTCAGGCAGTCCACCCACCTCGGCCTCCCAAAGTGCTGGGATTACAGGCGTGAGCTACCACACCCGGCCATGGATTGTTTTAATATTAACTGTTATCACTGGACAAAGACTTGAGGTGACAATAGTGACTGGGTAATCAGGGTCAACTTTGGCATGACCAAATAATATCCTGAACAGTATTGATTCAGAGTAATCCATGTTCTGAGCTTTGTTGTTTTCTGATGCGTGGGGACGGATCAGTAATGTGCAGGTTGTTAGAACACCAGTGACTTCTCTGTGGCTGAGTGCATCGACAAGTGTGTGGTGGGAGGAGACGGCGGCTCCGTCCGGAGCAGGAGCTGTCATGTGGGGAGCTGGCCCAGGCTCATGAGAGCAACTTGCGCTGGCTGAGGGAACGGCAGGTCCAGGCGGGCAGCGCTGTCTGGCGCCTCCCTTTCTGCGGTGCCGGAATCTGCTTGTCTGCGACCGTCCGCTTTGGTAGCTGCCAGCCACATGGGGCTGTTGCTAATGTGGCAGGTGTAGCTGAAGAGCTGAATGTTTTGACTTATTTTAATTAATTAAGTGGTTATGTGTTGCCAGTAGCTCCCATCTGGGCTGTGACCCCATGGTCTGCGGACCTCACTCTGGCACCAGACTCCGAGTGGAGCTGCATGCTGCCACTGGACAGTGTGGAGTGCCTCTTCGGGTTGTGTAGAAGTAGGAAATGTGTCACCAACATAGGAGCTGTTGCTGCTGCGTTCTCTAGCACACCTGCCTTGTTGGTACTGCTGGGCGTGGAATGCCTCTCGGGCTCTGACAGTGTCATTGACACTCTTGCTGATCTCCTTGGATTTACCTGGTCCATTTGGATCAAGTTCTTTCACCTATTCACATGAGCAGATACCACCTTAAAACCTTAAAGGTTGGCTTAACACTTCTTGCCCTTTTTTTTTCTTTCTTTTAGTCTCTGCGATATGATACCAGCTGTTTTGTGGAGTATTTTGCCTTGGATCTCCTGATGGAGAATGGGGAGTGCCGTGGTGTCTTCGCACTGTGCATACAGGACGGGTCCATCCATCGCATAAGAGCAAAGAATACTATTGTTGCCACAGGGTAGGAATCTAATTTCTACTTTATTTCCTTTGTAAAAATGAATAAATTCCATTTAGAGTGTCTTTATTTTAAGGAAAATAGAGGCATTGTAGAATAGCAGTTCAGACACAGGCCTTGATATAACCGTGTGAGGGTGATGGCCTTTCCCAGCCGTGGTTCCTCACCTGTAAAGGGTGAGGACAGCAGCACCTGCCTCAGGGGGTGAGAAAGCATGGCCCTCAGTAGTCGGTAGTGGCTGCCGTCAGGTTCACAGCGTACCTCTCCCGATTTTAGATGAGGAAACTGTGGCCCGAAGAGTCACATGGGGTTTTCTGGCAAAATCCCTCTTGTTTTAGTGGGTTCTATGTTTATACTGATTCCTGGGATAGATAAGTCTGTCTTCTCCACATAATGAAAATAAAAAACTTTAATTTTATACAGTGGCAGTTACTTTAGCCACTTTAAAAGTTAAGAAGTGTCAGTACAGCCAAGAAAAAAAATCAGCAAAACTACAGGTTGGGAAAAAAATATTTTCCAAACCATATATCTAATGATATCTTAGTATCTAAAATAGCAAAAAAAATAAAAAATAAAAAAAAGCCCTACTAAAACCAACCTACTAAACCCTACTAAAAAACAACCCTACTAAAAATGGGCAAAGGACTTGAATAGATATTTTTCCAGAGAAGACATACAAATGGCCAGTTGATGTATGAAAAAATGCTCAACATCACCAAGCACCAGAGAAATGCAAATTAAAACCCCAATGAGTATCATCTCATCTCGCTCCAGTTAGAGTGGCTGTTACCAAGAGGACAAAAGATAGTGTTGGTGAGGATGTGGAGAAAAGGGAACCCTGTGTGCTGTTGGTGGGAATGTAAATTAGTACAACTATTGTGGAAAACTCTGGAGGTTCCTCAAAAGTCACAGGACTACCATGTGCTCCAGCAACCTCATTTCTGGGTGTATATCCAAAGGGCATGAAATCAGAAGCTCAAAGAGACACCTGGACCCCCATGTTCATTGCAGCGTTATTCACAATACCCGAGATATGGAAACAACCTAAAAATTTTTGGTGTTTAATGACAATGTGGTGTGTGTACACAACTGAATATTATTCAGCTATGAAAACGAAGGAAATCCTGTCATGTGTGACAACGTGGATGAACCCAAAGTCATTATGTTAAGTGAAACGACCCAGGCACAGAAAGACAGATACTGCATGTCACTCATATGTGGATCTAAAACTGTCACAACTCACAGAAACAGAGTAGGACAGTGGTTGCCAGGGGCTGGGGGAATGCAGACTGTGGCGATGCTGATTAAAGGTGTAACTTCCCGTCACAAGGTGAAGTTCTGAAGGTCTGATAAACAGCATGGTGGCTAGAGTTAATGTTATAGAGCATGGTGGCCAGAGTTAACATTATACAGCATGGTGGCTACAGTTAAAATCATACAGTACGGTGGCTATCATTAATATAACTTGAAATTTGCGAAGAGAGTAGACCTTAGGTGTCTGTATCTCCAAAAAAAAAGGATAATTGTATGAGGTGATAGATGTGTATTAAGTTGATTGTGTCATCAGTTCACAAAATAAATCATCACGTTGTACACCTTAAATATATACAGTATTGTTTTTTGTTTAATTCATCAATCATACCTCAGTAAATCTGGGGGAAAAAAACAAAATCCATAAAAATTTTAAAATTTTCATTATAAAAGTAGTATATGCTTACTGGGGAAACCTTTTGAACAGCACAAATCTAAAATACAAACAGGGCCAGACGCATAGTGGCTCATGCCTGTAATCCCAGCACTTTGGGAGGCCGAAGTGGGTGGATCACCTGAGGTCAGGAGTTCGAGACCAGCGTGGCCAACATGGCGAAACCCAGTCTCTACTAAAAATACAAAAATCAATTGGATGTGGTGGTGCACACCTGTAATCCCAGGTACTTGGGAGGCTGAGGCAGAAGAATCACTTGAACTTGGGAGCCTGAGGTTGCCGTGAGCCGAGATTGTGCCACCGTACTCCAGCCTGGGCGACAAGAGTTAGACCCTATCTCAAAATAAATAAATAAAATATAAATGGAAGTCTCTTCTCTGATCCCAGGCTTCTATCCTACCTGCGCAGGGTAGCAGCACCACTGGCATGGCCCCCAGTGATGTGTGTGGGGTGTGCGTGAGTTGGGGGTTGTGTGCACACAGCACTGAGAAGATGGTGCCCGGGGGCTGCCCTGTCCGTTCTGTGATCTCATTAGACAGGAGGTCCGGACGTGGGCCACTGTGTGCAGTCACTGCTCTCTGTTGTTTCCATAGGCTACTGGCGCAACTACTTGAGCTGCACGTCTGCCCACACCAGCACCAGCGACGGCACGGCCATGATCACCAGGGCAGGCCTTCCTTGCCAGGACCTCGAGTTTGTTCAGTTCCACCCCACAGGTAGGGCAGGACGCCTTGCCCGGAAAGCGTTCGGCTCGTGTGTCTTGTAAGCGTGTGGTGCCTACTCATTGCTCTTCCATAGTTTTATGTAATAACATGGTTTTGAAGATCAGCTTCCTTAGCTCTCAGGTCCTAACTTCAATGTCATTTCCTTAAGGAGACTTTTCCCACACTCCCCTTCCTCTAAGGCAGTTTGGGCCACCATCTTATGCATTTCTCAAGAGCCCTAAACCCTGCCTTGGTGATACTTATGCCAGCAGTAAAGCAGGGATTGAGGCCGGGCATGGTGGCTCACGCCTGTAATCCCAGCACTTTGGGAGGCCAAGGCAGGTGGATCACCTGAGGTCAGGAGTTCAAGACCAGCCTGCGCAACATGGTGAAACCTCATCTCTACTAAACATAAAAAAATCAGCTGGGCATGGTGGCATGCACCTGTGATCCCAGCTACTTGGGAGGCTGAGGCGGGAGGAATGCTTGAACCTGGGAGGCAGAGGTTGCAGTGAGCCGAGATCGCACCACTGCGCTCCAGCCTGGGCAACAGAGTAAGACTTCGTCTGAAAAAAAAAAAAAAAAAAAAGTAAAGCAGGAATTGTTCAGTGTCCCTCTTTGCAGTGAGGTCGTCAGCAATTCGGGCAGGCAGGTCTTCTCATTAACTGGGGTGCTCCACGCCCAGCACATGGTAGGGTCTCCATCGGGGTTTACTGAGTGAGCATTCTGAGAGCTGGGTGAATGCTGTGGAACCAAGAAGCAGCACAGGCAGATTTCAGCTTTGTAGGACAACACAGAGCTTCCGTGACAATGGGATGTAAAGTTAAGACACAGCCATGAGAGAACCCCATGTGACGTTGGGCGCTGGGCTCAGCCCCCGTGACCACTGAGGGAGCTTGTCGTGGGGAAGATGAGCTTGTCTTGGGGACGTCTGACGGTTGAGGTTACGAATGTGCAATTTGGAGACATTAACTCAGAAATGACAGTTGAAGTCTTGAGTTTGGAGGAGGTTCTTCAAAATGAGTCAGAGACAGACACACACACGTCTGCCTCTTGTTTGAGGTGACTCGTCCTGGACTTTTCTGGGTTGCTTTTCTGACCTGTGGACGATGGAGACCCCTGAAGTGGTGCCAAAGAACCAGACCTGTGTCTTTTCTTTCTCTGTCAGTGTCAGCTTTCTGATCCCTGGAAGGGATGAAAATAAGAAATGGATTTGTTGTAGGTTTTTTTTTTTAATTTGTTTAGAGATGGGGTCTTGCTCTGTTGCCCAGGCTGGAGTGCAGTGGAGCAATCTCGACTCACTGCAGCCTTTGTCTCCCAGGCTCAAACGATCCTTCCACCTCAGCCTCCCAAATAGCTGGGACTACAGGCATGTGTTAGCATGCCCAGCTAATTTTTGAGGGTTTTTTTGTTTTTGGTAGAGACAGGGTGTCACCATTTTAAGCCCAGGCTGGTCTCAAACGCCAGGGCTTAGGCGATCCTCCTGCCTCGGCCCCTCAGGGTGCTGGCATTATAGCCATGAGCCACTGCACCCGGCCTGTTGTATTTTTTATTACTGTTTTTAATCAGTAAAATGTCAGTGAGCCCCTGAATTCCCTCTGTAATTTGCTTAGAGCTCCACTTCTCATGCTTTGTCTTCAATATGTGAGAAGTAACCACAGAAAAGAGAGCATGGAAACTTAGAAAATCAAAAGGCAGGTGAGATGCAAGAATCACATTCTTGTTTTGAAAGCAAGATTGCCCTTTTTGTATACTAATAAAAATTGTAGCTTTTGAAATACATTTAGTTTAGGGTTTTTGATCTCCTTTGTTAAAATTCGAGAGCTTGGCACGCCCTGTTTCTCATCGCACTGAGGAGTCACAGAGCCGCTGTTTGGGGCACAGACCGCCGGACTGCCCAGGTTTGGGTTTGAGCTCTGTCCTCAGCTGCATGACTGGATGTTACCAAGCGTTAATTTGCTTGTCACTGAGAAAGGGGGTCGTACTACCCAGAGTTGTTGTAAGACTTAAATGAGTTTAATATGTGGAAAGCAGCTAGAACTGCCCATAGCAAGTGCAGTGTAAAGATGAACTAAAATAATCATTATTACTGTCCTTGCCACTGTTTGGGTAACTTAGATATGAATTCTCCAAGCTAGTATTCTTAACTAGTCACCACAGTATCGTAGCGCAAAAGAATGTTCAAAAATTAAAACAAAATTTGAGGCATCCAACGTACACCGGGCTGTAATCAGAGTATTGGCCAGAGGTCTGTGGGCCGGCCTTTCTCCTCTCTGGGGACGCCACTCTGCCCCAGCCTCTGCTGCAGCTGTCAGCCTTGTCAGTGCTTTTTGTTATCCAGACTTTCTACTGTATCTTAACTGTTCTTTCTGTTCAGTTTTGCATATAATGCCTTCTGCATATCTTTTTTGTCTCTCCCCCAAAAAATATCTTGTAAAAAAAAGTAATGCATTTGAAATAGAGACCCAGCAATTGTTAGGTTATAAATGTGTGGTTTTTTGCAGGCACATATGGTGCTGGTTGTCTCATTACGGAAGGATGTCGTGGAGAGGGAGGCATTCTCATTAACAGTCAAGGCGAAAGGTTTATGGAGCGATACGCCCCCATCGCGAAGGACCTGGCGTCTAGAGATGTGGTGTCTCGGTGGATGACTCTGGAGATCCGCGAAGGAAGGTGCGTGTGGTTTACCACCAGCACTGTCTGAGCGGGCACACGGGCCGGGGTTGCTTCTGTGAGTTTCAGCACCACTCGCCCTCACCTTCGTGTGCAGGCACATGTGCACAGCCACCTCTCTCAGCTGCCGGCAGGCATCTGTTAGTCTGCGATATTTTCCTAAAGACCTACATTTTGAAAATTTTAGCCAGTTTCTTTCTCAAATCTGTGGAACAGAGTTTCTCTTAGTGTGTGTGAGTATGTGACGGAGTATGGAAGAGAGAGACACGCACCCAACCTGAAGTCGGCGTGTGAGCCTTGGGTGTGGTGTCTGATACCCACAGATGTTTTTCGACAGCTTTCAAAGTGTGTGGGTCATTTGCCTTTCAGAAGAACAGTTTGCAGCTCTTTCATTGCCTGACCCTGTTCTTTAATGTGATAACACTTGCTAAATATCTGCTGGTATCTGGTGTGGCCTTTAGAGGTTTTACATTTTTATATTAAAAAAAAAAGAAGTCGGATGGTTTTTTGGAATATGGTGGCCCTCCGTATCCATCGGTTCCACATGTGTGGTTTCAACCAACTATGTACTGAAAATAAAATTGCATCCTTACAAACACGCAGACTTTTTTTTTTCCTTGTCATTGTTCGCTAAGCAACACAGTGTAGCAGCTATTTACCTGCATTTACATTGTATTAGGTACTATGAGTAATCCTGGAGTTGCTGTACAACTTAAATGTAAAACTTGAAATGAGGATGATTTAAAATATGGAGGAGGATGTGCATAGGTTATATGCAAATACTCTGCCATTTTATATTAGGGACTTGAGCATCCACGGATTTTGGTGTCCGTGGGGGTCCTGGACCCAACCTGCCACGGATACGCAGGGACGACTATTTGGCATAGAGGCCTAATGCTTTTACCAAGGACAGCCGCTGCAGGCTGTGATCCCTGAGACGAGTGTGAGTTCAGTAAGGGCAGAGTATTTGTTCTGGTTCTCAGCTGTGTCCCAGCACCTAGGATTGTCCCTGGCACACAGTAGATGCTTAGAAAAGATTTGATGGGAGGGTGGCCGTACATGAGGGGAAATTTTCCTCAGTATCAAAACATGTTGCAACTCACACGCTTCCAAGATGACGTATTCTCAGGTCTGCTGCCGTTGCCATTCTCTGCCTTATGTGATGGTGTTCTGTCTTACCAGAGGCTGTGGCCCTGAGAAAGATCACGTCTACCTGCAGCTGCACCACCTACCTCCAGAGCAGCTGGCCATGCCCTTGCCCGGCATTTCAGAGACAGCCATGATCTTCGCTGGTGTGGACGTCACGAAGGAGCCGATCCCTGTCCTCCCCACCGTGCATTATAACATGGACGGCATTCCCACCAGCTACGAGGGGCAGGTGATGGTGCTGGCTTCTCTCCCACAGCTGGAAAGAAGGCTGGGACAACGGGGCCCATCTTGCAGTTGTCTCTTTAGATCTTAGAGGAAGAGACAGATGTTTCCTTAAAGAAAGTACTGTATTGTTTTCTAAATTGCACTTGAAATTTCTATCAGTGGAGGATGGAAGGAGGCTTAATAATTTATTCCTCCTAAGTAAACTGTCATAGATACATCATTTGCAGCTTTTCCCATTTTATAATTACTTTCCTATATGATCTTGTGTTATTTCTAATGAGCTTATACATCAAGGGATCTTTATAATTGCTATTTCTAATGATCTTGTACATCGAGGGATCTTTATAATTCATACCTTTGAGTGGTTTGCGGTTCACACAGAGCTTGTCAGTCACTTAGCCTCCTTGTTGGGCGAGGTGGGTGGAAGCTGTTACTTTCCCCGCATAGATGAAGAGGTGAACAGGGGGTAGAAGAGTCTGGAACATCAGTCTCCCCTGCTGATGTTCCTCCACCTGCCGTGCTCCTGGGTCTGAGCTGGAGCACAGGTGGTGAGGGCCTCGGGAACATGGGACACGGGGGACAGTCGCAGATGCTGACATTGGAGGTCCTCTGACCTGCTTGTAACAGCAGGTGCTCAGGGGCAGAGGGGAAACTGGGGTATACATTCGGAAGTTTCCCTCTGAAGAAGAGTAGCTATGGTCCTTACTTCCTTCTTAGATACGGTCTTTACTTCCGTCTCTTTGTTTCTTGGAGATGGAGACTCGCTCTGTCACTTAGGCTGGAGTGCAATGGCGCGATCTCGCCTCACTGCAACCTCCGCCTCCCAGGTTCAAGCGATTCTTCTGCCTCAGCCTCCCGAGTAGCTGGGATTACAGGCACCCGCCATCATGCCTGGCTAATTTTTGTATTTTTAGTTGAGACGGGGTTTCACCATGTTAGCCAGACAGTTCTCGAACCCCTGAACTCAGGTGATCCACCCGCCTCAGCCTCCCAAAGTGCTGGGATTACAAGCGTGAGCCACTGCATGCCCGACCTACTTCCCTCTCTTTCTCTGACCTGCAGCACAGACACCCTGTTGAGGGAGGTGGGCTTGTGGAGGAATGGGCATCTTGACATTTCACCTGAAATCTTCCTTTCCACAGGTCCTGAGGCACGGGAATGGCCAGGATCAGATTGTGCCCGGCCTGTACGCCTGTGGGGAGGCCGCCTGTGCCTCTGCACATGGTGTCAACCGCCTCGGGGCAAACTCGCTATTGGACCTGGTTGTCTGGTCAGGCATGTGCCCTGAGCATCGCAGAGTCGTGCAGGCCTGGTAAGTGTTTTCTTCAGGACCCAGACTATTTGAGAAGGCGCAGGAGGTTAGTCTTTTTTCTTTTTTTTTGAGACAGGGTCTTAGTGCCCTGTTCTTAGGGCGCGAAGAACAGGACAGTTAGCATCGTTCCCACCTCCAGAGATCCTCACGGTTGTTATGCAGCCTCGTGTGCTCAGAACAGTGTGAGGTGGATGAGGCACTGGTGGATGTTTGCGTGGCAAGGATGGTGGGACCCCAGGCCCATGTTCTTCCCGTTAGCTTTCTCTGGTGTTAACTGTTTAGCATCATTTCTGCTGTTTTTATAGAACAGGCGCTTTTTGCTTTTTGTATGGACTCAAGTGAAATAAAAACTAGCACCGCCGTACCTTATAAACGTGCGCCCTTTTCTATCTGTAGTTAGAAAGGTACAGGCAGTATTAAAAGGGTAGCTACTTCAGACACTGTGTCTCTGTGGATCTGACGACAGCTCAGGAGGCCAGCACATGCAGAGCCGGCGTCTCATCCCCAGCCGTTGCTGATCATCGGCGAAGGCGGGGTTCAGGTGCCTCGTTCCTGACGCCACAGGTTGTGCTTGTCTCACTCCATAGCCCTGCACTTTGTCGCAGTGAGGTCTGATACCACTTCTCTCAGAGCAGTGTAGAAATTTTGAGCTTCTCTTTCTTTGAAAATGCAGAAAAGAACATTTTGTGAGAATACCCTATACTTGACATCTGAGAAACCGCTCACACATGCAGCATCTCACGCAGAATGCTGTGGAGTCGGACTCAAAAGGCTGCACGCCTGTGGTCCTATTGATAGGACATTCTGGACAAGGCACATCTAGGGAAGAAAAGGGATTGGTGGTTGCCAGAGGCTGTTTCCTGATTGTGCTGAGGCTTACAGACACAGCTCTGTGTGTGTCAAAGTTTGAAAAACCTGCATTAAAAATGATGAGTTTATTTTACTGTATCTTTACGCTTTAATTTTTAAAAATGAAAAGGAAAGAAAAAATGCTTGTAGCATCCCTACTTCTCCCCCAACCCCCGACCCCCCCAAAAAATATATATATGTGTATTTTTAGACATAGTCTCCCTCTGTCACCCAGGCTTGAGTGCAGTGGTACGATCAGGTGCACGCCACCACATCTGGCTAATTTTTAAAAATGTATTCTAGGGACAGGGTCTCCCTGTGTTGCCCAGGGTGGTCTTGAACTCCTGACCTCAAGTGATCCTCCTGTCTCAGCCTCCCAAAGTGGTTACATGCATCTATCCATGTGTTAAAATCGGTAGAACTGAGGCCGGGTGCAGTGGCTCACACCTATAATCCCACCACTTTGGGAGGCCAAGGCAGGCCGATTGCTTGAGCTCAGGAGTTCGAGACCAGCTTGGGCAAGGTGGTGAAACCCCGTCTCTACCAAAAATACAAAAATTAGCTGGGCATGGTGGCTCACACTTGGGTAGTCCCAGCTACTTGGGAGGCTGAGGTGGGAGGATTGTTGGAGCCTAGAAGGCGGAGGTTGCTGTGAGCCGAGATCGCACCACTGCACTCCAGCCTGGGCAACAGAGGGAGGAGACACTGTCTCAAAAAAAGAAAAAAAAAAGAAAAAAGAAACTGTAGAACTGTCCACCGAAAGAAAAAAGTCAATTTTAATGGATGATCAATTTTTAAAGCGTTATAAACAAAAGGAAAAGAGACACCAGCAAGCCTAGAAGCATTTGAGCAGACCGTCAAGAGACCCACAGCCTGGTCCCGAGGAGAGGCGGTAGGCGGGACAGGGCCTGTTGGACTCCTGCATTTCATACCTCCTATCTCCTGCATGTGTTACTTATTGAAGAAAAAATATATATAATTTTATAAAAAAAAAAAAACCTTTAAAACTTTTTTCAAGACATCTTGGAAACACAAGAGTTGCAAATCTTGGCCTTGTGCAGCAGCTCACACATGTGATCCCAGCACTTTGGGAGGCTGAGGCAGGTGGCTCACCTGAGGTCAGGAGTTCGAGACCAGCCTGGCCAACATGGTGAAACCCTATCGCTACTGAAAATACAAAAATTAGCCGGGTATGGTTGCAAACTCCTGTAGTCCCATCTACTCCAGAGTCTGAGGCAGGAGGATTGCTTGAACCAGGAGGTGGAGGTTGCAGTGAGCCGAGATGGTGCCACCGCACTCCAGCCTGGGCTACAGAGCAAAATTCCATCTCAAAAAAAAAAAAAATTGCAAATCTTGAAGTATAGATGAGAGCACACAATAGTCCAAATCAGCAGGTGACTTGCAAGCACACAGCAGCCACCTTCCTCCCCCTAATGTGAAGGACAGTGGGGCGGCCGGCCCCTTGGGACCACCATCTGGAAGGTGTCATTTTTTCCCGTTAGTGGAGTGACATTTATATACACTTAATGTATATAAATCTGTATACATTTAATTTTTTTTTTTTTGTAAGACAGGGTCTCGCTCTGTTGCCCAGGCTGGAGTGCAGTGGCGCGATCTCGGCTCACTGCAACCTCCATCTTTCGGGTTGAAGCAGTTCTCATGCCAG
This sequence comes from Homo sapiens, assembly GCF_000001405.40. NCBI lineage: Eukaryota > Metazoa > Chordata > Mammalia > Primates > Hominidae > Homo > Homo sapiens. Next base: position 195,971,881 of record NC_000003.12, on the reverse strand, counting down.
ATAATTTTTGTGTTTTTAGTAGAAATGAGGTTTTGCCACGTTGGCCAGGCTGCTCTTGAACTCCTGATTTCAAGTGCTTCACCTACCTCAGCCTCCTAAAGTGCTGGGATTACAGGCGTGAGCCACTGCACCCGGCCTACATTTTAATTTTTTAATTTTAGAGATGATTTCTAGTTTATTCACTCTAAGATCACTTAATGGATATCTACTGTGTGCCAACAGTTTTGCCTTTTATGTCTGTTCTTTAAAATTGGCCCCAACTCAACAGATGGCCTCAGATGTAGGGTGGGTTGGCAGTGTGTTAGCTCAGGAGACTTACACAGTTTCCAGGCTCCTTGAGCGGCTATGCTACATTTTTGTGTGTCGTACTAAATCCATTTGTTTTTTTAAAACGGTTTTCAAAAGTTAAATTCTAGCTCTTTTTGTTGTTGTTTTAGGAGATAAAGTCCCTCCAATTAAACCAAATGCTGGGGAAGAATCTGTCACGAATGTTGACAAATTGAGATTTGCTGATGGAAGAAGCATAAGAACATCGGAACTGCGACTCAGCATGCAGAAGGTAAGAGCCTGGACTCGCTCTGGAGTGAGCAGGCTGGCTGCATACCTGGCCCTGCACTGGTTTTGTTTTTTTAAAAACAGATCTAGGGGGATGCAGGTGCAGCTTTGTGTGGATGTACTGGGAGGTGGTGGAGTCTGGGCTTTTCATGTACCCGTCACCCAAGTCGTGTGTGTTGTACTCAGCAGGTAATTGCTCATCCCCACCCCTCCCGCTTTTTGGAGCCCCCAGTCTCTGTTAGTCCACTCCGTGTGTCCATGTGTACTCACTGTTCAGCTCCCACTTCCAAGGGAGAATGTGTGACACTTGACCTTCTGAGTCACTTCACTTAGGATAGTGACCTCCCGTTCCATCCGTCTGGCTGCGGAAGACATGATTGCATTCTTTTTTTATGGCCAAGTAGTATTTCATGGTATATATGTACCACATTTTCTTTATCTGGTCGTCCGTTGATGGGCACTTAGGTTGATTCCATGACTTTGCTATTGTGACTAGTGCTGCAATAAACATACGAGGCTGCACCAGTATCTGGAGGTAAACAGCAGTAGGACATACTCCTCACTGTATCAAGAATATGAAAGAGACCAGAAGTGCACTTCTTCTCCACATAGAAGGTCAGCAGGCCAGGGCAGAATTAGTGACTGCTTAGCATCCAGGACAGCCTTCTGTGGTTCACTTGTGTGTGCTTGGGCATGACCGCCGTGCCCTGACCGTCGCTGGCTGTCATGGATGAGTCACAGCGTGGAGGAGAGGGAGCCG